>NT_167245.2:4371209-4604811 GCF_000001405.40 Homo sapiens | reverse complement strand
GGCCAACACGGTGAAACCTGTCACCACTAAAAATACAAAATTAGCCTGGCATAGTGGCACATGCCTGTAGTCCCAGCTACTGGGGAGGCTAAGGTGGGAGAATCACTTGAACTCGGGAGGTGGAGGTTGCAGTGAGCCAAGATGGCACCATTGCACTCCAGCCTGGGCGACAAGAGTGAAACTGCATCTCAAAAATAAATAAATAAATAAAAATAAAAATAGAGTCCTGCAACAGTGAGGATGCATTCAGATGAAAGCAACAGAAAACTCAGCTAATAATGTCAGTTAATAAAGACATTTAATTGTTTCATATTTCAAAAATGTCCGGAGGTCAGCAGCCAGTAAGCCCCCTAACGATATTATCTAAGACCCAGGGTCTCTTCATCCTGCTCCATCATCCTTGGCGTGCTGGCTTTTGGGGCCCTCTGTGTGATACTCCACTGATATTCTTGGCACATGGGAAACATCATCTGCTCTTGGATTTCCCAGATCAATCTGAGGATATTACTTCTTGGGGGTAGGTAGGGCCCTGTGGTGGTTTGGACTGTTATTCCCAATCCTTTGCTTCCTCCTTATTATTTAAGTGTACATCCATCCCCTTTGCTGTGTGACTTGCTTGTGCCAACAGAATGTCAGAGGACACGATGCAAGCAGATGCTTTCAATGTGCTTTTGTAGTTTGGCTTGGCCTCTTGCACTCCTGTGATCTGACAAGAGAAAGGCAAATTCCAGATATCCATTGCCCCTTCAGCTGTGACCCAGAATAGACACTGGACCAGGACTAAAGGAGTCCTACCAAGCCCTGTCAAGCCCAGCCTGATTAGACAAACCACAGACAACTCACAAACCCATGAGCATGAAAATAAATAGAGTGGCTTAAGCAATCTCCTGGGGACAGGTATAGGAGGACAGCAAGGGTCCTTGGGTTCTCAGAGTGTCCTCCAGCTCCTCCGGTTTATGAGTCAGTATGTACTTGGTCACATTCATCCTGGGGGCCTTTGGCTAAAGTCAACATTTAGAGTTTCTCGTGGATCTCTTGGCTGGATCTGATCTCACTGGTGCTTTCTGGCTGACTCAACCTCCCTGTGGCTCTCGGTAGCCCAGTGGGACCCCTGAATCTCTACCATGTCTCCCATTCAGCTCCTAACCAAGTTATGCAAACCACATGCCTCTGCTGCCAGGTCACCCTCTTCCTACCCCCCATGCCCCATGGCAGGCCCATGGCTCTCAATTCAATACCCATCACTGGAAAAGGGCTGGTAACACAAAACAGACCCTGTCTCCCTGCCAGTGCATCCTGATTTGCCCACTTATCTACAATGGGCAAAATTTTGTAGCAGCTTCAGTGATCTCTTCTGTTTTCTGGATGTTTCTGAAGCCATTCCCCCAATTCCAAGGCATCTCCTTGACTCTCACCTCCCTGCCTTCGTCTTGTTGAAACTCCAAGATGAGAAGTGGTAGGCTTCTCTTTTATTCTTTTCATATCTTATCTTTGGCTTCCTAGCTCTAATTGCCACTTCAAAAGACAAGGGTTCCCTTTGGAAACAATCTGTTGAGGTAGCTGTTATTATCCTCATTATGGACATATAGGAAATCAAAGATGAGAGATTAAATTACCTCCTCCTTTGGTAGAAACTTGATTCTAGATCTGGCTCTTGATTATGTTAAATGGGAGCTAAATGAATGCAGAAAACAATTTCTTTCTCATAGTCCAGTTTTCAAGTCCATTGTCTTGCTGCAAAATCCTATTTTGAATTTCAATAGATGCATATTACCATTTCCTTCTCTTTATATTTCTTCTGAAACAATCTTAATCTCCTCACAAGCAGTTTGATGCCACAACCAAATAAGAAAGAGGTCATTTACTTGCTGAAGGCAAAAGAGTATAAAAGGAAAAAACACATTAATAGTTTCTTCATACATTATCCATTCTAGCTCCCTGCTTCCACCTGACTTCCCTATTGCAAAGTCTGGAGAATCTTTATCTAGTCCTTTGAATGTGTGTATGCACACATGAGAATTCATGGCTGCATGCAAGAGTGTGTGTGCATGCATGTATTGATGAGAGTGTTGAGAAAAGGAACTCTTCATTTTCTCTTTTTTTCTTTTCTTTTCTTTTTTTTTTTTGAGACAGAGTCTTGCTCTGTCGCCCAGGCTGGAGTGCAGTGAGCTCATTGCAACCTCTGCCTCCCGGGTTCAAGGGATTCTCATGCCTCAGTCTCCCAAGTAGCTGGGATTCCAGGCACGTGCCACAACACCCGGCTAATTTTTGTATTTTTAGTAGAGACGGGGTTTCACCATGTTGGCCAGGATGGTCTCAAACTCCTGACTGCAAGTGATCCACCCGCGTCAGCCTCCCAAAGTGCTGGGATTACAGGCGTGAGCCACTGCGCCCGGTCCATTTTTTCTTTTTTTTTTTTTTTAATGCCATAAGTCTTTGAAACTCTAAAGCCAAAAATTTGACCCATTTATTTATAATTGGTATTATACTGTCATTCCTTTCTTTAGGTAATAAAGCCAGAACCATTGGTTTTTTTCATTAAGATAGGGAACCAGGTTACAAGGATTACCAAAAATAAAAGATAATAGGCTGCTGTTTTTAAAACCTTACATCTCCAGGATCTAAGTCAGTGGCAATAGGGAGGGAAGAGAGGCATTTGGTGACCCAAACCAACTGCTGCTGAGCTGTCCAGTTCTCTGGCTCTCCTTTGACTTCTTGGAACCATCACTTTGACAACAATAAACTCCCAATGCAGGAAAACAAAGCCAGGATTTTTTCTGAGTCTCAGCCACATGCTAAGCGATATGTGATGTACTTTTGTGTACATCATCTCATTTCTTCTTAAAGCAATCCTTCATAGTAGGTATTATCATTTTCACTTTTCACTTTTTTTTTTTTTTTTTTGAGGCAGGGTCTCATTCTGTCACCCAGGCTAGAGCGCAGTGGAGCAATCACTACAGCCTCAAATTCCTGGGCTCAAGTGATCCTCCCACCTCAGCCTCCTGAGTAGCTGGAACTGCAGGCGTGTGCTACCATGCCCAGATAATTTTTAAATTTTTTTGCAGAGATTGGGATCTCATTATGTTGCCCAGGCTGGTCTCAAACTCCTGGCCTCAAGCAATTCTCTTGCCTCCGCTTCCCCAAGCGTTGGGATTACAGGCATGAGCCACTGCACTTGGCCTCATTCTCATTTTTTAATGATGAGACAGGGTGCACAGGCTGAAAGAGGTAGAATAACTTCCCCAAAGCCCAACAGCTAAAACATGAAAGAGCCGGGATTCGGCCGCCCCGTCTGGGAAGTGGGCGCCTCTGCCCGGCCACCCCGTCTGGGAGGTGAGGAGCGCCTCTGCCAGGCTGCCCTGTCTGGGAAGTGTACGCAACAGCTCTGAAGAGACAGCGACCATCGAGAACGGGCCATGATGACGATGGCGGTTTTGTCGAAAAGAAAAGGGGGAAATGTGGGGAAAAGAAAGAGAGATCAGATTGTTACTGTGTCTGCATAGAAAGAAGTAGACATAGGAGACACCATTTTGTTCTATACTAAGAAAAATTCTTCTGCCTTGGGATGCTGTTAATCTATAACCTTACCCTCAACCCTGTGCTCTCTGAAACATGTGCTGTGTCAACTCAGGGTTAAATGGATTAAGGGCGGTGCAAGATGTGCTTTGTTAAACAGATGCTTGAAGGCAGCATGCTTAAGAGTCATCACCACTCCCTAATCTCAAATACCCAGGGACACAAACACTGCCGAGGGCCGCAGGGACTTCTGCCTAGGAAAACCAGAGACCTTTGTTCACGTGTTTATCTGCTGACCTTCTCTCTACTACTATCCTATGACCCTGCCACATCCCCCTCTCTGAGAAACACCCAAGAATGATCAATAAATACTAAAAAAAAAAAAAAAAAAAAAAAAAAAAGAGCAAGAGCCGGGATTCAAACCCTGCTCCTTGGTACTGCTAACCTCACCGTCGTTTCTCTACATTGGGTGCCTCTTGAGCGATTGTGCTAACACTACATGGAGAGGACTCTATAAAGATGACTACTTTCTTCCTTGTGGGAGTTTTTATTTTATTTTAATTTTTTGAGACAAGGTCTCGCTCCGTTGCCCAGGCTGGGTTGTAGTGGCACGATCTTGGCTCACTGCAGCCTCAACCGCCCTGGACTCCCATCTTGACCTCCAGAGTAGCTGGAACTACAGGCGCATGCCACCACTCCCAGCATTCTCCTGCCTCAGCCTCCCGAGTAGCTGGGACTACAGGCGCCCGCCACCACAGCGGGCTAATTTAGAGACGGGGTTTCACCGTGTTAGCCAGGATGGTCTCGATCTCCTGACCTCGTGATCCGCCCACCTCGGCTTCCCAAAGTGCTGGGATTACAGGCATGAGCCACCGCGCCCGGCCTGAAGTTTCTTAGCCACAGTGCTTTTAAACATTTTATAAAAAAGCAAAACAAATATTCCTTACTGCTGCGTCTATCTTCTGAAGATGACAGCAGCTGGCAGAGCTTGTCCACCTCAGCCTAGCTAGCATTTAAATATGGCTATAGGAGAGAGTCCCTTATTAGCGGGCTCCTCCCCCAGGGCTCTGTACTCTAGGCTGCTCCACACTCCTTTGCCCACCTTAGGCTAGTAAGGTCGGGGTGTACATGGACTGTTTCTTAGCCCTTTCCCTAGGGGGCCAGGGGAGACAAGGAATTGCTTGTCAACTGAGACATGTGAGGGGTGGCAGGGAAGGGCAGAAGTAGGAAAAGCAGCAGCACAGCAAGCAGCAGGCCACTTCCTGGGCACAGTTACTAAGGCAGGTGACCATGGTGAGGAGGATCCTCAGGACTGGGCTGGAGCTGCCTGCAGCCACCTGGGGACTCAGTCTGCGCCTTTTGGCCTCCCCTCCGTCACCACAAACCCAGAAAGGGGCAACCTGCCCAGACTGCCAGTGGCCAAATGGGCACTCCATGGCATCTTAGCATCTCTCCTGCTCCAGGCCTCTGTGGGCAGCAAGAAAGCTAGAGCTACCTGGGATAAAACCGAGGAGGCAGCATGCAACTTCCTCTTATATTCCAGGGTATTAGATATGAGTTCTAAATTTCTTTTCAAATAATTGTCATTATGTTCAATTCTTTACCTTCTACTTTTAAACTTAACTTCCTCGTAAAGCAATCTTTTTTGATTACCTACTCCACCCTGACTCATTCTGATCTCCTGCTCCACCCTAACTCATTTTGATCACCTGCCACCTGCTCTGCCCTGACTCCCGCCAAAGCACTCATCCCGTCATTCTCTTTAAATTAGCCAGTCAGAATTAGTTTAGCCTGTGCTGTCTAACCCTAGCCAATAGGGGAACGAAACAGCAGCAGGGGCCACGTGCATTAGGGATAAGAACCCCTTCCCCTCCCTTGTCCAAGTGTGCGCTCACCATTGTTCCATCTGTAAGGGTGCACCCTTCTATATAGAAGTACCTAGCCTTGCTGAGAATTAAAAGGAAAATTTTATATTTGAGTGATATTCCTTTTGCGGCACCGAAACTTTATATATAACAATTTGGGGGCTTGTCTGGGATTACATTCCCCTCTGGGGGTGGTCTCTGGTTCTCTCTCTTGAGGAGGTGAACCCCGCCCTATTGTGGCGGCCTCAGGCGTGAAAAATCAAGACCTACCCAGTGCAAGGAATAACCCAAGCTCTCAGCAATGCAGGAAAAAAAAAAAAGGCCATCAACCTTTTGGGGTGATCAGACCCAACACCAGGCCGTGGGGGCTACGAAGTCCAGCAGAGTCAAAGGAATGAGAAAACACAAGTTCAGAGAGAAAGTGGGACCAGGGGGCCAACACTAGTATGGAGGTTGCAAAGGCCCGGAGCTCTGGAAGCCCACACTATTTATTGGTGATCAAACAAACAGGGGGTGAGGATGTGGGGGTTGAAAGGAAGCGATGTATCAAGCTAATGAACTACAGATGTGATGGTTTAGCATTTTCTTTGAAATGTATGGCTACTTGAGATAATGGGAGTGCTAGAAGCAAGAAGCCAGCAAGTCTGGACACATTCCAAAGGCCACCAGGGGTGTTACCCTGAATGTAAAACTATTGAAGAAACAATTTATGTGCAAGATGTATAAGGAAAGTAAAATATACTTTTAGTAAAAGGATTATAAGGAGGCATAAGAATGTGGATTTTTACCTACATTAAAAGGTTAAAAAAAAATTTTGTGGCCAGGCATGGTGGCTCACACCTGTAATCCTACCTAGCACTTTGGGAGGCCGAGGTGGGTGGATCACCTGAGATCAGGAGTTTGAGACCAGCCTGGCCAACCTGGTGAAACCCCGTCTCAACTAAAAATACGAAAATTAGCTGGGCATTGTGGTGGGCACCTGTAATCCCAGCTACTCACTCAGGAGGCTGAGGCAGGAGAATCACTTGAACGTGGGAGGCGGAGGTTGCAGTGAGCCAAGATCGCACCATTGCACTCCAGCCTGGGTGACAGAGTGGGACTCCATCTCAAAAAAGAAAAAAAAAAATTTGTTTTGAAGGTTTAAGCAAGTTTTAAAATGTTAATTGTAATGGAAATTATGTGTGTAAACATATTGGCTAAGGTTAAAAGGGTATCACCCAGTTTTTCTGTGAACTGAGCATTAAAATAAAAACACAACGGGTTTTTCTTAAAGCACTAACCCGCTCTTTAACAAAAATTATAAAAAGTTAAAAACAGGCCAGGCTCAGTGGCTCATGCCTGTAATCCCAGCACTTTGGGAGGCCGAGGCAGGCAGATCACCTGAGGTCGGGAGTTCGAGACCAGCCTGACCAACATGGAGAAACCCCCATCTCTGCTAAAAATCCAAAATTAGCTGGGTGTGGTGGTGCATGCCTGTAATCCCAGCTACTTGGGAGGCTGAGACAGGAGAATTCCTTGAACCCGGGAGGCAGAGATTGCAGTGAGCCAAGATTGCACCATTGCACTCCAGCCTGGGCAACAAGAGTGAAACTCCTTCTCAAAAAGAAAAAAAAAAAACAGTCTATAAAAATCTTACCTTATGGGCCGGGCACGGTGGCTCACGCCTATAATCCCAGCACTATGGGAGGCCGAGGTGGGTGGATCATGAGGTCAGGAGATAGAGACCACCCTGGCTAACAAGTAAAACCCTGTCTCTACTAAAAATACAAAAAATTAGCCAGGCGTGGTGATGGGCGCCTGTAGTCCCAGCTACTTGGGAGGCTGAGGCAGGAGAATGGCGTGAACCCGAGAGGTGGAGCTTGCAGTGAGCCGAGATCGTGCCACTGCATTTCAGCCTGGGCGACAGAGCAAGACTCCATCTCAAAAAAAAAAAAAAAAAAAAAAAAAAAAAAAAAACTTACCTTATGATCAGACATTAAAAATTGGATAAATATGTCTACAAAGTGTTATTAAAACTAAGTTTAACATTAATAGGCTGGGCGCGGTGGCTCACGCTTGTAATCCCAGCACTTTGGGAGGCCAAGGCGGGCAGATTGCCTGAGCTCAGGAGTTCGCGACCAGCCTGGGCAACAAGGTGAAACCCCGTCTCTACTAAAATACAAAAAAATTAGCCGGGCGTGGCAGCGTGTGCCTGTAGTCCCAGCTACTTGGGAGGCTGAGGCAGGAGAACTGCTTGAACCCGGGAGGCAGAGGTTGCAGTGAGCCAAGATCGCGCCACTGCACTCCAGCCTGGGCAACAGAGTGAGACTCCGTTTCAAAAAAAAAAATTAATAACACACTAATATAAAGGTGAAATTTAGCTTATCTGGTATAAAAATCATACAGGAAGCACTGTCAAATATAAAATGGTGTTTGGCGTTCTTTGGTCTAAAAAAACTAATAAAAATAAGTGCTAAAGGAAATTTCTCAGTAAGAAGGCACCAAGGACTATAAAGTCCACTGCTGATGTCCCCACATTTAAAACAAAAGGTCGATTTCTTAGAAATTATATGCTTGGTTTATCTTCCACTTTCCTCTCCCTCAAAACTAAAAATATTTTAGCACAGGTACCACCCCTAAAATTTCTGGTAAACCAGCACCAGCCTGAAGATCATGTTGTCATCAGAGGGTGGAAAGAAGGAAAACTCGAGCCAGCCTGGGAAGGACCCTACCTTGTGCTGCCAACCACCGAGACTGCAGTTTGTACAGCGAAAAAGGGATGGATTCATCACACCCGAGTCAAGAAAGCACCACCCCCTCCAGAGTTGTGGGCCATAGTCCCAGGGGGAAACCCTACCAAATTAAAGCTAAGAAAAATTTAACTCTTTCATCTATTCTATTACTCTTTCTCCTTTCCTCGCTCTATTGCTGACCATCTAGTTATTAACATAACCAAGTCAATTTCGCCTCAAACTATTGCATTTAGTGCTTGCCTTGTTATATCCCGTAGGAACTTGCCAAGTCAAAGACAGCTCTCTACTTCTGAAAAGTACCTCTGTCCCTCCTGACTCTCCTCACACTGGGCATTAGTAAATTAGGACCACTGAATCCGGGGGGATTTCGATAAAGATCCCAATGTCAACCAGGATTCTTGACCCCCAATGTAGAGCTTTTATGCCGTAGTCGGTCCAACGTTCTGTGGATCACTAAAGAGCAAGTATGGACTGCCCCAATCAGTTTTTGTAATTTCCTAAAACCATATATTCATTTTACTAGAGGATCATAGAAGTTAAAGACTTAAAAAACATTTTGGCAATTAACACAGGATACCAAGATGCAAATGCCTGGTTGGAATGGATCAAATATTCCGTCCACATTAAACAAAAGCAATTGTTATGCTTGTGCACATGGCAGGCCAGAGGCCCAGATTGTCCCCTTTCCACTAAGGTGGTCCTCCAGTCGACCAGGTGTGGGCTGCATGGTAGCTCTTTTCCAGGATTCTACAGCCTGGAGTAATAACTCACGCCAAGCTCTCTCTCTGCTATATCCTGAAGTCCGGCACCCTGCGCGTCAGCCCCCGAGGGCCATCCAGCTTCTGTCTCCCAACACTAAGTTCACTTCGTGTCTCTCCCAATAGGGAGGAAACTTAGCATTCCTTGGAGACCTGAAGGATGCAGTGAGCTTAAGAATTTTCAAGAGCTTATCAATCAGTCAGCCCTTGTTCATCCCCGAGTGGATGTGTGGTGGTATTGTGGTGGATCTTTACTGGACACTGCCAAATAACTGGAATGGCACTTGTGCTTTATTCCAATTGGCTATCCCTTTCACCCTGTTATTTCATCAACGAGAGGAAGGAAAAATAAGTATCATAAAGCAAGAGAAGCCCTTTATGGGTCTTTCGACTCTCACGTCTATTTAGACACAATTAAGAGTCCCATGGGGAATACCAGATCAATTTAAAGCCCAAAATCAAATTGCTGCAGGATTTAAGTCAACATTTTGGTGGGTAACAATTAATAAAAGTGTAGATTGGGTAAACTACGTCTATTACAACCAATAGCGATTTATTAACTACACTAGAGATGCTGTTAGAGGAATAGCTGAACAATTAGGGGCTACTAGCCAGACGGCTTAGGAAAATAGTGTCACCGGCGTCTGTGTGAAGAGACCACCAAACAGGCTTTGTGTGAGCAATAAAGCTGTTTATTTCACCTGGGTGCAGGCGGGCTGAGTCCGAAAAGAGAGTCAGCAAAGGGTGGTGGGATTATCATTAGTTCTTATAGGTTTGGGATAGGCATACAAACTACATTCTTAAGGGCAGGGGAGAATATTACAAAGTACCTTCGTAAGGGTGGGGGAGAATATATTTATCAGTTAGGGTGGGACAGGAACAAATCACAATGGTGGAATGTCATCAGTTGAGGCTATTTTCACTTCTTTTGTGGATCTTTAATTGCTTCAGGCCATCTGGATGTATACCTGCAGGTCACAGGGGATATGATGGCTTAACTTGGGCTCAGAGGCCTGACATTCCTATCTCCTTATATTAATAAACAAAATAGTGGTGAAGTGTTGGGGCTGCGAAAATTTTTGGAGGTGGTATGGAGAGATAATGGGTGATGTTTCTCAGGGCTTCTTCGAGCGGGATTAGGGGCGGTGTGGGAGCCTAGAGTGGGAGATATTAAGCTGAAGGAAGATTTTGTGGTAAGGGGTGATATTGTGGGGTTGTTAGAAGGAGCATTTGTCGCCCGGTGTGGTGGCTGACGCCTATAATCCCAGCACTTTGGGAGGCTGAGGCGGGCGGATCACCTAAGGTCAGGAGTTCAAGACCAGCCTAGCTGACATGGTGAAACCCCATCTCTCCAAAAAAAAAACAAAACAAAAATTAGCCGGACATGATGGCGGGTGCCTGTAATCCTAGCTACTCAGGAGGCTGAGGTGGGAGAATTGCTTGAACCCCAGGAGGTGGAGGTTGCAATGAGCTGAGATCGCGCCACTGCACTCCAGCCTGGGTGACAGAGTGAGACTCTGTCTCAAAAAAAAAAAAAAAAAGAAAAGACAGCTGGAAAAGAATGGTTATCATCTTTAGGAAAAAAAAAATGGCTGGGCACGGTGTCTCACGCCTGTAATCCCAGAAGGAGCATTTGTCATATACAATGATTGGCGATGGCCTGGATACAGTTTTGGATGAATTGAGAGACTAAACGGAAGATACAAGGTCCGAATAAGGGAAGGAGAAAAACAGGTATTAAAGGACTAAGAATTGGGAGCACCCAGGACATCCAATTAGAGAGTGCCCAAGGGGGTTCAGAGTAATTACTTGCTTGGTTGGCGAGTTTTTGGCCTCTATCCTTGAGTTCTTTTATGTTGTCATACACCAGGCCAGATTGATTTAGGTAAAAACAACACTCTTCATTAAAAAATATACAGAGTCCTCCTTTTTCAGCAGTGAGTAAGTCAAGGCCTCGGTGGTTTTGGAGGACAACTGCAGCTAAAGAGTCAACTTGGGCCTGAAGGACTGATAAAGTTTGTGATATGTGTGTGATGCTAGCAGAGAAGTCATTAGAGAGGCTATGGAAGGTCGTGACAGAGGTTGAAATGCCTACTATTCCAGTACCGAGAGCAATAGTGGAGGCAGAAAGTCCTAAACCGACAAGCAAGGGAATTAGCGGAATAACTCTTTTTTGTTGTGTCGGTGTCATGAGGGGAACAGGAAGATGTTCAGTCCCATTTGCAAATTGATTTTGGGAGTAAGGAAAACTAGTGTGCATGTGCCTGTCCAATTAGCAGGTAGACACATGTAGGTAGAGGATCCACAGAGGAAGAAGAGACCTTGTGCGGAGCAAAACCGGAAATGCAAAGTAAAAAGATGAGAAGGAGTGCTGAAAGAGGTGTCTTGTACCCAGACTCCTAGGGATCCAGCTAAGGCGGCAGCCATCAGAGGTTGTAATGGGGACTGATGGGGTAACTACGTAGAGGGGGAGGTTTGATTTTCATGGTGTATGAGAAAACTTTGAGTGTCTACGAGCAACCTTTCACTGTTATTTACGGGGCTGAGTATAAGCAAACAAGAAGAGGGCCTGGGAGGAGAGTCTGACAAGCAAGGGGAAGGTAGCCAAGGATGGAGTGAAATACAGGGTAAGTGTCTTCCTAAGCAATAATAACTGCTAATGTGTTTAAGTTTGCCAGTATTGATAGAGGGCTTATCTGTAATACAGAGCTGGGAGGCTCCAATTGTTTCAGTGATGTGTGTAGTTGGGCTTCGGAGATGAAGAGTAAAGGAACATCGAGAAGGTGAAAGATTACCTAGGGGAATTCCAGTGGGTCTTTGCCGAGAGATACATAAAGGAACGGCCACAGGAATAGTAGTTTGTGTTGTGAGGGGTCCAAATATGGGGGGAGTAGAGTTGATATAAGGAGAAAGGTTTTTTAAGTAAGTGTGGAGGAGGGCGGCAGCTTGCTGAAGTGAAATGTCTGGGGAAGTCTTGCTGGACCTGTCTAGAAAGTAAAGAAGTTCTTTAGGAAGGTAAAGGTGAGGGCTGTTAAAGGAAGTTTGGAGGTGTAGGGAGATAGGAGAGGTTGCCCAGTCTGTATGTAAGGCGGGGACAGCTGTGTAGGCGCAGGAAGAAAGGGAAATGCAAATTCAGCAATGGTTCGATGAGGGATTAGAAACGGCTAGGAGAGAGTGAATGAGATTGATAGTGTGGTGGAGCTAGCTGGGGAGAGGTAGAGGGTGGCATAAAAATGGGAACAAGAATAGGAGTGAGTATAAAAGTAAAGAATAGGACTTCATCAGGGTGAAAGTATTGGAGTGTGCCCTGCCAGCAAATATTATTTATTTACTTTAAGAGGGAGTTAAGAGTGGCGGTCTGGGGATAGCACCAGGAGATACCAGCTGTGACGGCTTGGAGAAACAGTGTAAACCGGCAGTGTAAACAAGAGCAGGGCATTTATGAGTAGTTGAGAATGGTGAATAGGAGTATGACTAGACAGAAGATAGAAGGGATGACAAGTTTTTGGGGTGCAGTCCGAGTTGGGCTGGTGTCTGGAATAAGACTGGGGCCTAATAAAAAGGAGCATCCATACAGGAGCTCAAATGGGCTGTATCCTGCAGCATTCCGAGGACAGGCCCGAATTCTGAGAAGGGCAAGTGGTAAAAGTACTGTCCAGTCTTTTTAAGTTGGAGGCTGAGCTTGGTGAGGTGTGTCTTTAAAAGACTATTAGTCTGTTTTACTTTTTCTGAAGATTGAGGATGGTAAGGGGTATGAAGGTTCCACTGAATACCAAGAGCCTGAGAAACTGCTTGGGTGATTTGACTAATAAAGGCCAGTCTGTTATTGGACTGTATAGAGGTGGGAAGGCCAAAGCGAGGAATTATGTCTGACAGAAGGGAAGAAATGACCGCAGTGGCCTTCTCAGACCCTGTTGGAAAGGCCTCTACCCATCCAGTGAAAGTGTCTACCCAGACCAAGAGGTATTTTAGTTTCCTGACTTGGGGCATGTGAGTAAAGTCAATTTGCCAGTCCTGGGCAGGGGCAAATCCCTGAGCTTGATGTGTAGGGAGGGGAGGGAGCCTGAACACTCCCTGAGGAGTAGTAGAATAGCAGATGGAACACTAAGAAGTGATTTCCTTGAGGATAGATTTCCACGATGGAAAGGAAATGAGAGGTTCTAAGAGGTGGGCTAGCAGCTTGTAACTTACATGGAAGAGGTTATGAAATGACAGCAGAATAGAATGGGCCTGTGAGGCTGTTAGGAGATATTTTCCTTGGTCCAAGAACCATTTGCCTTGTGTGGGAAGAGACTGATAGGTAGAAGTTTCAGCAGGAGAGTAGGTGGGAGTGACCCATGAGAATGAGAAAAATTGGCCGTGAGGGACAGAATTTGGAATGCTAGCTGCTTCTTTAGCTACCTTATCAGCAAAAGCATTGCCCTGAGCGATGGGATCTGACGCCTTTTGATGGCCCTTGGAGTAAATGACTCCAGCTTCCTTTGGAAGTAAAGCGGCCTTGAGAAGAGTTTTTATTAAAGAGGCATTAATGACAGAGGACCCTTGCGTAGTGAGGAAACCTCTTTTTGCCCATATAACAATATGGTGGTGCAGGATATGGAAGGCATATTTAGAGTTGTATAAATATTGACATGTAGTCCCTTTGCAAAAGTGAGGGCTCGAGTTAAGGCAATGAGTTCAGCTTGCCGAGAGGTAGTGGAGAGGGGCAGAGCAGTAGCCTCAATGATAGATGTGGAAGATACTATAGCATAGCCTGCCTTTGCTGGTGTGTGGCAATTAGGCCTGGTAGAACTACCATCAATAAACCAAGTGTGATCAGGGTGAGGAACAGGAAAGAAGGAAATACGGGGAAATGGGGTGAATGTCAGGTGGATCAGAGAGATACAGTCATGGGGGTCAGGTGTGGTATCAGGAATAATGTGGGAGGCTGGATTGAAGTCCTGGCCAGGAACAATGGTAACTGTGGGAGACTCAACAAAGAATGAGTACAGCTGAAGGAGCCGGGGAGCAGAAAGTATACGTGTTAGACGTGAGGAAGAAAATAGATTTATGAGAACCGTAGAGAGTGAGTTGAGCATAGTTTGTGATTTTGAGGGCCTGTAAAAGTATTAGGGCAGTGGCAGCCACTGCACGGAGACATGATGGCCAGCCTAAAACAGTAAGTCAAGTTGTTTGGACAAAAAGGCTACAGGGTGCGGTCCTGGTCCTTGTGTAAGAATTCTGACTGTACAGCCCTGCACTTCGGCTGTGTGTAATGAAAAGGGTCGGGATGAGTCATGGAGAGCTAGTGTGGGAGCTGTGTTTTAAGGAATGGAAAGGGGAGAGGAGAAAGGATTTAGGATCTATGGGGTCAGCTAGGTTTATCTAGAACAGAATAATGGGTTGTGGAGGGAGGTATTGAGGATAGGAGAGTATATGGGTTTGGCACCACAGGGTGGATAGGCAAAACAATTTGGTCGATATGGCGCAGATCCTGAACTAACCTGTAAGGCTTATCTGGTTTTTGGACAGGTAAAATGGGGGAATTGTAAGGAGAGTTTATAGGCTTTAAAAGGCCATGCTGTAACAGGTGAGTGATAACAGGATTTAATCCTTTTAAAGCATGCTGTGGGATGGGATACTGGCATTGAGCGGGGTAAGGGTGATTAGGTTTTAATGGGATAGTAATGGGCGTGGATAGTTCACCAGGGAGGGAGTAGAGGTGTCCCATACCTGTGGATTAAGGTGAGGAGATAAAAGAGAAGGACGTGAAGGAGGCTTTGAACTGGGGAAAAGGGCAGCAACGAAATGTGGCTGTAGCCTAGGATTAGTCAGGGAAGCAGATAATTTAGTTAAAATGTCTCGACCTAATAAGGGAGCTGGGCAGGTGGGGATAACTAAAAAGGAGTGCATAAAAGAATATTGTCCAAGTTGGCACCAGAGTTGGGGAGTTTTAAGAGGTTTAGAAGCCTGGCCATGAATACCCACAACAGTTATGGAGGCAAAGGAAATAGGCCTTTGAAAAGAAGGTAATGTGGAGTTGGTAGCCTCCATATTGATTAAGAAGGGTGACTTACCCTCCACTGTAAGAGTTACCCAAAGTGTCCGTGATGGCCCGGGAGGCTTCGAAGGTGATCGGACAGCATCAGTCTTCAGCCGCTAAGCTGAGAAGATCTGGGAAGGAGTCAGTCAGAGAGTCTTGGGCCAGAGATCCCAGAGCTCTGGGAGTGACTGCGAGGCGAGTGGGACAGTCTGATTTTCAGTGGGGTCCTGCACAGATGGGACACGGCTTAGGAGGAATCCCGGGCTGTGGGCATTTCTTGGCCCAGTGGCCAGATTTCTGGCACTTGAAGCAAGATCCTGATGAAGAAGGTCCTGTAGGAATGCTTGACCACTGCGGTTTAGGCATGTGCGGCTTAGGCATTTTGAAGTTCTCGTGTGCTGGAGGTGCAGCTGGGTTTTGTCTCACAGCAGAGGCAAGTAATTGTAACTTTTCTCTATTATTGTACACCTTGAAGGCAAGGTTAATTAAGTCCTGTTGTGGGGTGACGTGCACCTGTAATCCCAGCTATTCAGGAGGCTGAGGCAGGAGAATAGCTTGAACCAGGGAGGTGGAGGTTGCAGTGAGCCGGGATCACGCTACTGCACTCCAGCCTGGGCGACAGAGTGAGACTCCATCTCAAAAAAAAAAAAAAATTATTCTTTGTTCATTTCCTGACCCATGATAACCGAACCCCTGGTATTTTTCGCGTGGGTCCTGTCCACCTGATGGTAGTCAGGACTGTCCCTTACCGGGATTTTCTGAAAATTGATGAGCTCTCCTCCTTTCACGCATAACTTCAAGGCGATCACGTCGGGTGCACCACTTGCAGAGTTTATAGCTTGCAGTGAACGCCAAGAATGAGTTCTTAGACAATTCCAGCTGAGTGGGGCCGGGGGAATGGGGGGGGCATTTCTTCTAAGAGAACCCGCCCCAGCATCCGTCTGCCAAGTATTTATTGAAAGTGCTTGTTAAACCACAAACATCCACTAGATGGCTTTTTGAGGTCGGGTCGTGAGACACCTGCGGCCTCGTAAAAGCACTCAAACCGCATTCTCAGGAGGCTGTTTTCAGCGTTCCTTATCACACCACACACTCCACTCCCTGTCCTGTTTTCAGGGTCAAGGAATTTCATTCTCACGCACAAATAACATACACACAGTGCCTCAGTATTCTTCCATGCCCCGACCTCAGATGCCATGTACATAAGCTTGAATATGTTGCTGTGCACCCCCCACACTCAAGTGTCCCCACCCCTTTAAATATGTTGTGTGGGGCTAGTTCTTCCATTGCCCATGAAAGATAACTCAGGCAGGCCACAGAGCATACCTGCTCAATCCTTGGAACAAAAAAAAAAATCCTCCAAGCATCATTCTGAATTACGTTTTTTCTCTCGGCCAGCTCCGACTGAGTGGTTTGACATGGGAAGCTGCCAGTGTGAAACTGGCAGAGTGGCTGGCTTCCTCAAGAATTTCTTTCTTGCCTTCCTGTGTCTGACTCTCCACCCTCTCCCTCACAGCCAGAAGCAGAGGAGGTGAGGGGGACAAAATGCTTTACCTGACGGCCATACACTGGAAGTGGTTTTGGTTTCCTCTGGCTGTGGTGGATGTTCAAATTGACTTTTGCTCTTGTGCGATGTTTGTGTGTCTTTTATAAACTCCCAGTAGCTGAATATCTCTCACTTATACTCTGTAGCCCAAACTTTGAATTATATTATTTTATTTTTTAACTTTTACTTTAGGTTCAGGGGTACATGTGTAGGTTCCTTATATAGGTAAAGTGTGTGTCATGGGGCTTTGGTGTACAGGTAATTTAATCACCCAAGTAACAAGCATAGTACCTGATAGGTCCCACCTTGAATTTGTCTAGGTGTTAGATTGGCTGCAGTTCTCTACCACTTCCTGTTATCTGAGGCCTTTACAGTGTGCCTTGGTGGCTAGTCACTCTCACCAAAAGGTAGAGTTTAGGAGGGCATGGTGGCTCCCACCTGGAATCCCAGCTACTTGGGAGGCTGAGACAAAAGGATCACTTGAACCCAGGAGGTCGAGGCTGCAGTGAACCATCCATGTTCATGCCACTGCACTCTAGCCTGGGCAACAGAGAAAGATCCTGTCTCAAAACAAACAAAAAAACATGGCAAAACCCTGTCTCTACTAAAAATACAGAAATCAGCCGGTGGTGGCATGCACCTGTAATCACAGCTATTGGCTGAGGCATGAGAATGGCTTGAACCTAGGAGGTGGAGGTTGCATTGAGCCGAGATCATGCCACTGCACTCCAGGCTGAGCGATGGAGAGAGACTCTGTCTCAAAAAAAAAAAAAAAAAAAAGTTTGATAACACACTCAGCTGATGGGGTGGGGAAAGGAAACTGGTACTGTCACACATTGCCGACAGGAAGGAAGGTACACTGGTGCGGCTTCTACAGAAAGCATTTTAAAAATATCTACCCAAATCAAGTATTTACGTATTCTTTGACCTAGCAATTCTACTTCAAAGAACATACATTTACACTAGACATTTTTTTTTTTGAGATGGAGTCTTGCTCTAGAGTGCGGTGGCACAATCTCAGCTCACTACAACCTCCGCCTCTGCCTCCCAGGTTCAAGCAGTCTTCCTGCCTCAGTCAGCCTCCTGAGTAGCTGGGATTACAGGTGCGCACCACCACGCACAGCTAATTTTTGTATTTTTTGTAGACAGGGTTTTACCATGTTAGCCCGGCAAGTCTTAAACTCCTGACCTCAAGTGATCCACCTGCCTTGGCCTCCCAAAGTGCTGGGATTATAGGTGTGAACCACCACGCCTGGCCTACACTGGACATTTTTGAGAGTCAAGGGAGCACTATAACAAACAAGGGGTCGGGTGCGGTGGCTCACTCCTATAATCCCAGCACTTTGGGAGGCCAAGGTAGGTGGATCACTTGAGCCCAAGAATTTGAGACTACTCTGGGCAACATATTGAGAGAACTCATCTCCATTAAATTAAATTTAAAAAAAAAAAAAAAAAAAGAGGCCGGGCGTGGTGGCTCAAGCCTGTAATCTCAGCACTTTGGGAGGCCAAGTCAGAAGGATCATGAGGTCAGGAGTTCGAGACCAGCCTGGCCAATATGGTGAAACCCCATCTCTACTAAAAATACAAAAATTAGCCAGGCATGGTGGTGTGCGCCTGTAGTCCAAGTTACTTGGGAGGCTGAGGCAGAAGAAAAACTTAAACTTGTGAGGTGAAGGTTGCAGTGAGCCGAGATTGGGCCACTGCACTCCAGCCTGGGCAACAGAACAAGACTCCGACTCCGAAAAAAAAAAAGAAGGAAGCACCTCTCTGTTTGATTTCAAGGTATTAAGTGAGGAAAAGCAAGGAAAAGAGTAGTGATCATGTATTTATATGTATGTATACATTTATACATATACACTTATATATATTAATACATGCTTATATATATAGACTCTATCTCTGCAAGTGCAGCAGATGTAGGTTGGTGGGAGGCTGACACGTGTACAATTTTGGATACCTGTTTTAAGAGAAAGAATACCAAAAGTATCCCAGCACTTTGGGAGGCCGAGGTGGGCAGATCACCTGAAGTCAGGAGTTTGAGACCAGCTTGGCCAACATGGCCAAACCCCATCTTTACTAAAAAAAAATATAAAAATTAGCCAGGCACGGTGGTGAGTGCCTATAATCCCAGTTACTCAGGAGGCTGAGGCAGGAGAATCGCTTGAACCCAGGAGGCGGAGGTTGCAGTGAGCTGAGATCACGCCACTGCACTCCAGCCAGGGCAACAGAACGAGACTCCGTCTCAAAAAAAAAAAAAAAACCAAAAGTATAAATACAAAATTAGGTACAGACCAGCCTGGCCAACATGGCAAAACACTGTCTCTACTAAAAAAATTCAAAAACTAGCCAGGCATGGTGGCAAATGCCAGTAAATCCCAGCTACTTGGGAGGCTGAGGCAGAGAATCATTTGAACCTGAGATGCAGAGATTGCAGTGAGCCAAGATCTCGTCACTGCACTGCAGGCTTCGTGACAGAGTCTCACTATGTTGCCCAAGCTGGAGTGCAGTGGTGTGATCATGGCTCACTGCAGCCTTGACCTCCAGGTCAGATGATCCTCCTGCCTCAGCCTCCTGAATAGCTGGAAACACAGGTGCACGCTACCGTGGTTTTTTTTTTTTCTTTTTTTTTCCTTTTTTTTTTAAACTGGGGTTTCACTCTTGTTGCCCAGGTTGGAGTGCAATGGTGTGATCTCAGCTCACCAGAACCTCTGCCTCCTGTCAAGTGATTCTCCTGTCTCAGCCTCCTGAGTAGCTGGGACTAGAGGCATGTGCCACTACATCAGGCTAATTTTGTATTTTTAGTAGAGACAGGGTTCACCATGTTGATCATGCTAGTCTCGAACTCCTGACCTAAGTTGATGTGCCCACCTCAGCCTCCCAAACTGCTGGGATTACAGGCATGAGCCACTGTGCCTGGCCATTTTTCTTTCTTTTTTGAGATTTCTTTTTTTTTTTTGACAGAGTCTCTCCCTGTTGTCCAGGCTGGAGTGCAGTGGCACAATCTCGGCTCACTGCAAGCTCCGCCTCCCGGATTCACACCATTCTCTTGCCTCAGCCTCCCAAGTAGCTGGGACTAGAGGTGCCCGCCACCATGCCTGGCTAATTTTTTGTATTTTTAGTGGAAATGGGGTTTCACCATGTTAGCCGGGATGGTCTAGATCTCCTGACCTCGTGATCCACCCATCTCGGCCTCCCAAAGTGCTGGGATTACAGGCGTGAGCCACTGCGCCCGGCCATGGATTTCTTTTTTTTGAGAGGAAGTCTTGCTTTGTCACCCAGGCTGGAGTGCAAGTGGCCCAATCTTGGCTCACTGCAAAATCTCCGAAGTTCAAGCAATTCTCCTGCCTTAGCCTCACGAGTAACTGGGATTACAGGCATGCACCACCACACCCAGCTAATTTTTTTGTATTTTTAGTAGGGACGGGGTTTCATCATGTTGGTCAGGCTGGTCTCGAATTCCTAACCTCAAGTGATCTGCCCACCTTGGGATCCCAAAGTGCTGGGAATACAGGCATGAACCACCGCGACCGGCCCTGGCTAATGTTTTTTTTTTTCCTCTTGAGACAGAGTCTTTCTGTCACACAGGCTGGAATGCAATGGTGCGATCTTGGCTCACTGCAACTTCCACCTGCTGGGTTCAAATAATTCCCCTGTCTCAGCCTCCCAAGTAGCTGGGATTACAGGTGCGAGCCACCATGCCCCGCTAATTTTTTTTTGTATTTTTAGTAGAGATGGGGTTTCACCATTTTGGTCATGCTGGTCTCGAACTCCTGACCTCACATGATCTGCCTGCCCTGGCCTCCCAAAGTGCTGGGATTACAGGCATGAGCCACTGCGCCCTGCCTGTTAATTTTTAAATTATTTGTAGAGACAAGTCTCCCTATGTTACCCAGGTTGGTCTCAAATGTCTGGGCTCAAGCAATCCTCCTACCTCAGCCTCTTAAGTGTTGAGATTACAGGCATGAGCTACCGCACCTGGCCAAAATCTAGATCTTATAATTGGGTTCAAGTTTTTTTTTCTTTTTTCTTCTTTTTTTTTTTTGAGATGGAGTCTCACTCTGTCACCCAGGCTAGAGTGCAGTGGTGCGATCTCGGCTCACTGCAACCACCGCCTCCCAGGCTCAAGCGATTCTCCTGCCTCAGCCTCCTGCATAGCTGGGATTACAGGCACCCATGACCACACCCGACTAATTTTCGTGTTTTTAGTAGAGACAGGGTTTCACCATGTTGGCCAGGCTGGTCTTGAACTCCTGACCTCAAGTGATCTGGCTGCCTCAGCCTCCCAAAGTGCTGGGATTACAGGTGTGAGCCACTGCACCTGGCTCAAGTTTTCATTTCTCATATCCTGTTGATCTTACAACTCTTCTTCTTCTTCTGATACTCATTTTCTCTCATCAGTGTGGAAATTTATTACAGTTTATATGAAGTTTTCCTCTTCTGTCTCTTTCCTCCATGTTTGTTTTTACTTTTTTTTTTTCACATTTGTTGATTTTTATTTGCTATCTCTTTTTCTTTTTCTTCTTTTCTTTTTTTTTTTTTTGAGACGGAGTCTCACTCTGTCGCCCAGGCCGGAGTGCAGTGGCTCAATCTCGGCTCACTGCAAGCTCTGCCTCCTGGCTTCATGCCATTCTCCTGCCTCAGCCTCCCGAGTAGCTGGGACAACAGGAGCCCACCACCATGCCTGACTAATGTTTTTGTATTTTTAGTAGAGACGGGGTTTCACCGTGTTAGCCAGGATGGTCTCGATCTCCTGACCTCGTGATCCACCCGCCTCAGCCTCCCAAAGTGCTGGGATTACAGGCGTGAGCCACCGTGCCTGGCCTTCTTTTCTTTTCTTTCTTTCTTTTTTTTTTTTTTGACTGAATTTTGCTCTTGTTGCCCAGGCTGGGGTGCAACGGTGTGATCTTGGTTCACTGCAACTTCTGCCTCCTGGGTTCAAGCGATTCTCCTGCCTCAGCCTCCTGAGTAGCTGGGATTACAGGTGCCCGCCACCACGCCCAACTAACTTTTTGTATTTTTAGTAGAGACGGGGTTTCACCATGTTGGTCAGCGTGGTCTTGAACGCCTGACCTCAGGTTATCCACCCGCCTCGGCCTCCCAAGTTGCTGGGATTACAGGTGTGAGCCACTGCGCCCGGCCATGATCTCTTTTTCAATACAATTTACACCCTCATCCCCATTTTCAGTCTGATTATACAAGTGCTGTGTGACAGAAAGGTCTGGAATAAATACATCAAAAAAAAAAAGAGGCAAAGCTGTGAAACTAAGTTGCATGCAACAGGTTCTATGAGGATGGGGGAAGTGTCTGAGAAATAAAACAGAGTAAGACAATGTAGTTGGAAGGTTTTAGCTAAAGTTCTTTTCAGTCGTCTTTGTCTTTTGCTCCATGTTTCAGGATGCATGTGAACTCGATGTAATTGAAATTCCCCTTTTTGTTAATAGGCGCTTCTCTGTACAGCTCATCCACTTCCTCATCCGTAAACCGATCCCACATGGTTATCAGCAGCTCTCTCAGGTAATCTTCCTGAATAATGCCTGTTGCTTCTTCATCAAAGCAAGCAAAAGCATTTCCAATGACATCTTCAGGATCTGTGCCATTTAACTTCTCACCAAATATGGTGAGGAACATGGTGAAATCGATGGGCCCTGGTGCCTCATTCATTATGGCATCAAGGTATGCATCGGTGGGATTCTTCCCTAGGGAAACAAGCATATCATGCAAATCTTCTTTGTTGATGAAACCATCTCTGTTCTGATCAATCATGTTGAAGGCCTCTTTGAACTCCTGAATCTGTGACTGGTCAAACATGGCAAACACGTTGGATGTTGTGCGCTGAGGGCGCTTTTTGGTGGTCTTGGTCTTGCCTTTTTGCTCCACATGGTGGTTGTTTAATTCCAGCGCCAAACACCAGAAGTGGGCTGCCCTGCGCCAGACGATGAGGGAAGGCGAAGAGCACAATGCTGTGTCGTTTTTACTTTTAATTTTGGGTTTTTGCTCATGTCTGAAGTCTTCCTCAAATATCTGGTGTTCCTTAACTGGGCACTCATATTTAAGACAGAGCGGGCTGGGTGCAGTGGCTCACACCTATAATCTCAGCACTTTGGGAGGCCGAGGTGGGTGGATCACCTGAGGTCAGGAGTTCGAGACCAGCCTGACCAATATGGAGAAACCCAATCTCTACTAAAAATAAAAAATTATCCAGGCGTGGTGGTGCATGCCTGTATTCCCAGCTACTCAGGAGGCTGAGGCAGGAGAATCGCTTGAACCCGGGAGGCGGAGGTTGCAGTGAGCCAAGATCGTGCCATTGCACTCCAGCCTGGGCAACAAGAGCAAAACTCCATCTCAAAAACAAACAAACTATATGTGTGTATATATATATATATTTACATATATAACATATATATTTTACATATATTACATATATATATTTTACATATATATATTTATTTATTTCCTTATTTATTTTGTGGCCAGGTGTGGTGGCTCATGCCTGTAATCCCAGCATTTTGGGAGGCTGAGGCGAGCAGATTACCTGAGGTCAGGAGTTCCAGACCAGCCTAGCCAACATGGTGAAACCCCATCTCTACTAAAAATACAAAAATATTAGCCAGGTGTGTGGTGGTGCACACCTGTAATCCCATCTACTTGGGAGGCTGAGGCACAAGAATTGCTTGAACCCGGGAGTAGCTGGGATTACAGGCATGTGCCACCATGCCTGGCTAATTTTTGTATTTTTGGTAGAGACAAGGTTTCACTATGTTGGCCAGATTGGTCTGAACTCCTGACCTCAGGTGATCCACTCACCTCAGCCTCCCAAAGTGCTAGGATTACAGGCGTGAGCCACTGCACCCAGCCAGACAGTTTTTTGTTTTTTTTGTTGTTTTTGTTTTGTTTGTTTTTTTGAGATGGAGCCTGGCTCTGTTGCCCAGGCTGGAGTGCAGTGGCGCGATCTTGGCTCACTGCAAGCTCCGCCTCCCAGGTTCACGCCATTCTGCCTCAGCCTCCCGAGTAGCTGGGACTACAGGCGCCCGCCACTATGCCCGGCTAATTTTTTTGTATTTTTAGTAGAGACGGGGTTTCACCGTGTTAGTCAGGATTGTCTCGATCTCCTGACCTCGTGATCCGCCTGTCTCGGCCTCCCATAGTGCTGTGATTACAAGCGTGAGCCACCGCACCCAGCCTGTTTTTGTTTTTTTGAGATGGAGTTTGGCTCTGTCAGCCAGGCTGGAGTGCAGTGGTGTGATCTTAGCTCACTGCAACCTCCTCCTCCTGGGTTCAAGCTATTCTCCTGCCTCAGCCTCCTCATTAGCTGGGACTACAGGCGCGTGCCACCACGCCCAGCTAATTTTTGTATTTTTAGTAGAGATGGGGTTTCACCATGTTGGCCAGGCTGGTCTCGATCCCTTGACCTCGTGATCCGCCTGCCTCGGCCTCCCAAAGTGCTAGAATTACAGGCGTGAGCCACCGTGCCCAGTTGACAGTTTTATTTTACAATGTCAATATTTATATAAGACACAAGATCTGTTACACTCTTTTTTTTTTTCTGAGATGGAGTCTCGCTCTGTTGCCCAGGCTGGAATGCAGTGGTATGATATCGGCTCACTGCAACCACCGCCTCCCAGGTTCAAGCAATTCTTGTGCTTCAGCCTCCCGAGTAGCTGGGATTACAGGCATACGCCACCATGCCCAGCTAATTTTTGTATTTTTAGTACAGACAGGGTTTCACTATGTTAGCCAGGCTGGTCTTGAACTCCTGACCTCGTTATCCACCTGCCTCGGCCTCCCAAAGTACTGGGATTACAGGTGTGAGCCATTGCACCAAGCCGATTTGTTATACTCTTTGCAGTTATTTAAATCAACAAGGAAAAAAATTAGATGCCAAATAAAAATATATACAAAATGGCACATAATTTTCCAAAATGTTTTTAAGGAGCATGCAAGCAAGAAAATGTGAAGACTGATAGACTAATTCTAGTGCTGCTCTTATATCCAAGCAAGAGGAGATCCTGCCTGGAGCCCCACATTTCAGAAGGCCCCACATATCATAAATGTTAAAAGAATAAATTTGGAAGGAATATATGGGTGTATCTGTTACTGAAGATCTGGTGCTCAATTCTAGCACAGTGTATGAGTTATCTATTGCTGTGTAACAAATTACCCCAAAACCCGGTGGCTCAAAACAACACACTGTTATCTGATGGCTTCTGTGGGGGAGAAATCTGGGAACAGCTTAGCTGGATCCTCTGCTTCGGAGGCTCTCATAAGACTGCAGTCTATGAGTTGCCTGTGATCTCATCTGAAAGCTCAGGGCCGGGCTCAGTGGCTCATGCATGTAATCCCAGCACTTTGGAAGGCTGAGGCAGGTGCATCACCTGAGGTCAGGAGTTCCAGACCAGCCTGGCCCACCTGGTGAAACCCGGTTTCTACTAAAAATACAGAAATTAGCTGGGTGTTGTGGCGGGCACCTGTAATCCCAGCTACTTGGGAGGCTGAGGCAGGAGAATCGATTGAACCTGGGAGGTGGAGGTTGCAATGAGGCGAGATAGCACATTGCACTCTAGCCTGGGTGACGGAGCAAGACTCTGTCTCAAAAAAAATAAAAATAAAAATAAAAATAAAGCTTAACTGGGGAAGGTTTTGCTTCTAAGCTCACTCACATAGCTGTTTGCAGGATTCAGTTTCTAAAGGGTTTTTTGACTGAGGGTCTCAGTTCCCTGTTGGTTAGTGTTTGGAGACCACACCTAGTTTCTTGCCATGTGGGTTTCTCCAATATGGCATCTTACATCATCAAAGCCAGCAATAGAGAGGCTAGCAAGTAGAAAGTCCTGTCTTTTTTTTTTTTTTTCTTGTGATGGAGTTTTGCTCTGACTCCCAGGGTGGAGCATATTGGCACAATCTCGGCTCACTGTGACCTCTGCCTCCCGGTTTCACGCAATTCTCCTGCCTCAGCCTCCTGTGTAGCTAGCTGGGATTACAGGCATGTGCCACCATGCCTGGCTAATTTTTTGGAGTTTTAGTAGAGATGGGGTTTCACCACGCTGGCCAGGCTGGTCTCAAACTCCTGACCTTGTGATCTGCCTGCCTCGGCATCCCAAAGTGCTGGGATTACAGGCATGAGCCACTGTGCCCAGCCTACAAATAATGTTTAAATTCCCCGGATGTGCTGGCACACACCTGTAGCCGCAGCTACTCAGAATGCTGAGGTGGGAGGATTGCTTGAGCCGAGGAATTTGAGGCTGCAGTGAGCTATGATCCTGCTACTGCACTCTAGCCTGGGCGACAGAGCAAGAACCTGTTTAAAAAAAAAAAGAAAAGAAAAGAAAAAAAAGAAAGAAATGAAAGACCTCTTCAAAACTGTCAAATTCATGAGAGACAAGGAAAGACTGAGAACTTCCCAGATTGAAGGAGACTACAGATAGATATGTGACAGTCAAATGCAGTATGTGATCCTGGACTAGAAAGGACAGATAGGCCAAGTATGGTGGCACGCATCTGTAGTCCCAGCACTTTGGAAGGCTCAGGTGGGAGGATCACTTGAGCCCAGGAGTTTGAGGCTGCAGTGAGCTCTTGATAGCACCACTGCACTTTGGCCTGGGCAACAGAGTGAGACCTCATCTCAAAAAAAAAAAAAAGAAAAAGAAAAAAACAGCTGTTAAAAGAAAAGATAATTGCACTTTGGGAGGCCTAGGCGGGTGGATTGCCTGAGCTCAGGAGTTCAAGACCAGCCTGAACAACATGGTGAAACCCCGTCTCTGCTAAAATACAAAAAATTAGCTGGCTGTGGCGGCGTGTGCCTATAGTCCCAGCTACTTGGGAGGCTGAGGCAGGAGAATTGTTTGAACCCGGAAGGTGGAGGTTGTAGTGCACCGAGATCGCACCACTGCACTCCAGCCTGGGTGACAGACCTGTCTCCAAAAAAAAAAAAAAAAAAAAAGATAATTTAAAAAAGAAGAGGCGGTCATTACTGGGACAGCTGGTGAAATCTGAATGGGATCTATGAATTGAAGAGTGATATTGATTTCCTGATTAGAATGGTGTTTTAGTTTGCTAGGGCTGCCATAACAAAGTATCACAAACTGGGAGACTTAAACAGCAGAAATGTATTGCCTTACAGTTCTGGAGGCTGGAAGTCTGAGATCAAGGTGTAGGCAGGGTTGGTTCTTTCTGAGGGGTGTAAGGGAGAATCTGTTCCAGGCCTTTCTACTAGTTTCCGGTGGTTTGCTGGCAGTCTTTTGTGTGTGTGTGTGTGTGTGTGTGTGTGTGTGTGTGTGTGTTTTGAGACGGAATCTTGCTCTGTCACCCAGGCTGGAGTGCAATGGCAAGATCTCGGCTCAGTGCAACCTCTGCCTCCCAGGTTCAAGCAATTTTCCTGCCTCAGCCTCCCGATTGAGTAGCTGGGATTACAGGCACCCACGACCACGCCCGGCTAACATTTTGTATTTTTTTTTTTTTTTTTCTGAAACAGAGTCTCGCTCTGTCGCCCAGGCTGGAGTGCAGTGACACGATCTCAGCTCACTGCAACCTCCGCCTCCAGGTTCAAGCAATTCTCCTGCCTCCAGAATAGCTGGAATTACAGGTGCCCATGACCATGCCCTGCCAATTTTTGTATTTTTAGTAGAGGCAGGGTTTCACCATGTTGACCAGGCTGGTCTTGAACTCCTGACCTCGTGATCTGCCCGCCTCAGCCTCCCAAAGTGCTGGGATTACAGGCGTGAGCCATTGTGCTCGGCCAATTTTTTGTATTTTTAGTAGAGATGGGATTTCACTATGTTGGCCAGGCTGGTCTCGAACTCCTGACCTCAGGTGATCCACCTGTGTTGGCCTCCCAAAGTGCTGGGATTACAGGCATAAGCCATGGTGCCTGGCCTGCTGGCAATCTTTGACATATCAACCTGATCTCTGCCTTCATGGTCACATGTCATTCTCTCTATCCGCAAGCCTATGTCCAAACTTCCTTTCTAATAAAGGGGGTGAGAGGCCCACTCAACTCCAGTATGACCTCATTGAACCAATTACATATGCAACAACCTTATTTCCAAATAAGGTTACATTCTGAGGAACTGGGAGTTAGGACTTCATTATATAAATTTTATTTTTTTCCTTCGACTTTTATTTTAAGTTCAGGGGTACATGTGTGCGATGTGTAGGTTTGTTACATAGGTAAACGTGTGCAATGGTGATTTGCTGCACAGATCATCCCATCACCCAGGTATTAAGCCCAGCATCCATTAGCTATTCTTCCTGGTGCCCTTCCTTCCCCCACTCCCCCAGACAGGACCCAGTTGTGTTGTTTCCCACCGTGTGTCCGTGTATTCTCATCATCACTTGTAAGTGAGAACATGCGAACAAATGAATTCTTCACCTTTTTTTTTTTTTTTTTTTTTTTGAGAGGAGTCTCGTACTGTCACTGGGGCTGGAGTGCAATGGTGAGATCACAGCTTACTGCAACCTCGGCCCCCTGGGTTCAAGTGATTCTCCTGCCTCAGCCTCCCATGTCACTAGCTGGAATTATAGGGGCCTGCCACCATGCCCAGCTAATTTTTGTATTTTTAGTAGATATGGGTTTTTGCCATGTTGGCCAGGCTAGTCTCAAACTCCTGACCTTGTGATCTGCCCACCTTGGCCTCTCAAAGTTCTGGGATTACAGGCATAAGCCACCGTGCCTGGCCTGATCTTGTTCTTTTTTCTTTTTTTTTTTGGCAACAACTCACTCTGTTGCCAGACTGGAGTGCAGTGGTGCGATCTCAGCTCTCCACAACCTCCGCCTCCCGGGTTCAAGCCACTCCCCTGCCTCAGCCTCCTGAGTAGCTAGGACTACAGGCGCCCACCACCACACCCGGCTAGTTTTTTGTATTTTTAGTAGAGATGGGCTTTCAGTGTGTTAACCAGGATGGTCTCGATCTCTTGAACTTGTGATCTGCCCGCCTCGGTCTCCCAAAGTGCTGGGATTACAGGCATGAGACACTGCGCCCAGCCCAGCCCTTATTCATTTTTATGGCTGCACAACATATGAATTTTTAGGAGACACAATTCAACCTGTAACACATGGTTATACTGGGGTTGAGAGCGAGATGGAACAAATACAGCCAAGTGTTGACAAATGGAAAATCTGAGTGAAAGAGGTACATGCCAAAGTTCTTGGAACTGTTCTTAAATTTTTCTGTAAGCTGAAAATTATTTCAAAATTAAAAAAATTCCAACAAGATGCTAGGTTTATTTATTACACAAGATGTTGGTGCTGAACCTACCATGTAAAGAGACAATAAAGGTGTTTGTGTGGCCTTATTGCACACTTGCCTGGGATGTAAGTGAGGGTATCAGATTAATATGTTACATTTACATAGTGCTTTATAATTTACAAAAAACCAACAACATCAAAAAACCTTTATTTCATTTATCTCTCAGAATAATTCTGGGAGGCAAGAGCTTTTTCTGATTTTATTACAAAACAAAACACTAAAGAAAGGTCATGTGACTTGTCCACAGCTTCACACAACTAAGTGATCAGTTTAAATTCTAGTCCAGGGTTTTTTCACTTTTTCGAGACTCCTTTGCAGCTGCAGCAAAAGACAATGCGGCATGACTTGAAACAACATTTTTTTTTTGAGACAGAGTCTCGCTCTGTCGCCCAGGCTGGAGTGCAGTGGAGCAATCTCGGCTCACTGCAAGCTCCGCCTCTGGGGTTCATGCCATTCTCCTGCCTCAGCCTCCCGAGTAGTTAGGACTACAGGCTCCCGCCACCACAGCCGGCTAATTTTTTGTATTTTTTTTTTTTTTTTGAGACGGAGTCTCACTGTATCGCCCAATCTGGAGTGCAGTGGCATGATCTTGGCTCACTGCAAACTCTGCCTCCCGGGTTCAAGTGATTCTCCTGCCTCAGCCTCCCAAGTGGCTGGGACTACAGGCACCCGCCATCACACCTGGCTAATTTTTTGTATTTTTAGTAGAGACGGGGTTTCACCGTGTTAGCCAGGATGGTCTCGATCTCCTGACCTCGTGATCTGTCCGCCTCGGCCTCCCAAAGTGCTGGGATTACAGGCGTGAGCCACCGCGCCTGGCCTAATTTTTTGTATTTTTAGTAGAGACGGGGTTTCACCGTGTTTGCCAGGATGGCCTCAATCTCCTGACCTTGTGATCCGCCCACCTCGGCCTCCCAAAGTGCTGGGATTACAGGCGTGAGCCACCGCGCCCAGCCCTCAAAACAACATTATAACATCATTTCTGCTCTTTTGGGGGGTGACCTGACTTCCCAAGTAAAGAAGGTATTCTTAGGCATGGTGGCTTATGCTTGTAATTCCAGAATGATGGGAGGCTGAGGTGGAAGGATTGTTTAATAAGCTCAGGAGTTAAAAACCAGCCTGGGTAACATAGAAAGACCCTGTCTCTACAAAATTCAAAAATGAGCCAGGCGTGGTGACACACACCTGTGGTCCCAACTACTCAGGAGGCTAAGATGGGAGGATTGCTTGAGCTGGGGAGATCAAGGCTGCAGTGGGCCACGTTTGAGCCACTACACTCCAGCCTGGGTGACAGAGCAAGATCCTGTAGCCCGGGTGCGGTGGCTTATGCCTGTAATCCCAGCACTTTGGGAGGCTGAGGTGGGTGGATCACGAGGTCAGGAGTTCGAGACCAGCCTGGCCTACACTGTGAAACCCCGTCTCTACTAAAGGTACAAAAAATTAGCCAGGCGTGGTGGCACGTACCTGTAATTCCAGCGACTTGGGAGGCTGAGGCAGGAGAATGGTTTGAACCCGGGAGGCGGAGGTTGCAGTGAGCCGAGATCGTGCCATTGCACCCCAGCCCGGGGGACAGGGCGAGACTCCATCTCAAAAAAAAAAAAAGATCCGGTTAAAAAAAAAAAAAAAGGAACAAGATCTTCCTATTGAGGTGAAAATGAAAATGAAATAGTTTAGGTAGGAGGCTCCAAAGGTTCCCAGTATAAGGTTCACTACTACACACACTGCTTCCTCCACCGTTCCCCCTCCCCTCCCTCAGCCTCACTTGGGCGAATCCCTTGTTTCCAGATGGGCTTCAATTTCATTACCCAACCTTCAGGCCAATGCCTGGGGAACAGGGTCAATAAAACATCTTCTTTTTTTATTTTTATTTTTTTGAGACGGAGTCTCACTCTGTCACCCAGGTTGGAGTGCAGTTGCAGCGGCATGATCTTAGCTCATGGCAACCTCCGCCTCCCAGTTTCAAGAGATTCTCCTGCATCAGCTTCCCGAGTAGCTGGGATTACAGGCATGCGCCACCACTCCCGGATAATTTTTGTATTTTAGGTAGAAACAGGGTTTCACCATGTTGGCCAGGCTGGTCTTGATCTCCTGACCTCAATTGATCCATCCGCCTCGGGCTCCCAAAGTGCTGGAATTACAGGCGTGAGCCACCACGCCTGGCCTAAGAAAAGGTCTTCAATCAGTCAAAAAAAAAAAAAAAAAGAAAGAAAAGAAAAGGTCTTCAGTCCTTGCTCCTACAACCTCCTCAACCACATCCTCCACTGGTAGCCTCTGAGACCTGGACCATCGATGGCAAAACTTCACTCTTCTTTAAAATTACCCTGGCTGGGTGCAGTGGCTCACACCTGTAATCTCAGCACTTTGGGAGGCCAAGGTGGGTGGATCATTTGAGGTCAGGAGTTCCAGACCAGCTTGACCAACATGGTGAAACCCCGTCTCTACTAAAAATACAAAAAAATTAGCCGGACATGGTGGCACATGCCTGTAGTCCCAGCTACTTGGGAGGTTGAGGAAGGAGAATTTCTTGAACCCAGGAGACAGAGGTTGCAGTGAGCCGAAATCGTGCCACTGCACTCCAGCCTGGGAGACAGAGCGAGACTCCGTCTGTAAATAAATAAGTAAAGTAAAGTAAAATAACCCCAACCCAACAGCCAAGTCCCAATCACATACCCTTGCCCTGCTGATCCATCACGGTCTTTGTCTTTTTATAAGCCTCCCCTTGGGCTCATGCAGTCAATGATAATCCTCCCTTGGTACTGCAGAGACCAAAAGTTAGGAAGAGAGTGTTCTGGGTTATACCATCTCAAACTTAGCTGCCTGCAGACCCAGTGGGGAGAACTACTCCTGTGAGAACTCAAGTCCCCTCTGCTTGTTCCTACCCGCCTTGGTTAGGATAGACCATCTCACCCCCTACCATCCAGCCAGAAGGGGCTTTAGATCCTTGACTGACCATGGCTCACAGATGCATGGTAGGTCCATTTCCTCACTCTCTATCAGTTGGGGCCCAAGATTTTGAGCCTTGAGTCTTTGAGACTTGAGACCCAGAGTGACAGGCAGTTCTAGCTTATGCCTTCATGTTGGGCCTTCAGTTTCCAAATCACAGAATTATACTATGAAAAAGCTGAATAGAGTTCATGGATCATTTAGTCCAGACCTTTCACATCACACTGGATGTTTAAATAATTGATCTGAAGGCTCATAGGGTCCTTTCTCTTTTCTCTTAGGTGTGGGAATTAAGGTCAGGACTGGCAGGTGCAGGACTTGCCACAGCCATGCTCCTTAATCCTGGCAGTGCTGAGCAAGGCCTTGCATCCCAGCCCCCTGATCCAGCCAGCTGTCTGACTGTGAGTCAGGATGGCAGAGGAAGGTGATGTGGACGAGGCGGATGTGTTCCTGGCATTTGCCCAGGGTCCCTCCCCTCCCAGGGGTCCCGTGCGACGTGCCTTGGACAAGGCTTTCTTTATCTTCCTGGCCCTCTTCCTGACACTGCTGATGCTGGAGGCTGCTTATAAGCTGCTGTGGTTACTACTATGGGCAAAGTTAGGGGACTGGCTCCTGGGGACACCTCAGAAGGAGGAGGAGCTGGAATTGTGACCACCTTTCCTATAAACATCTTCTTTCCCCACCAAGGAGGTGAGAGGGGAGACAGGAGGGAAATGGGAGTGTTGGGGGCTATGGAGGAGATGCTTGGATAGCTTAGGGCAGCAGTCTTTTTTTTTTGAGATGGAGTTTTGCTCTTGTTACCTAGGCTGGAGTGCAATGGCACAATCTTGGCTCACTGCAACCTCTGCCTCCAGGGTTCAAGGGATTCTCCTGCCTCAGCCTCCTGAGTAGCTGGGATTACAGGCATGCGCCACCGCCCCCTGCTAATTTTGTATTTTTAGTAGAGACAAGGTTTCTCCATGTTAGTCAGGCAGGTCTCCAACTCCGACCTCAGGTATCTGCCTGCCTTGGCCTCCCAAAGCGCTGGGATTACAGGTGTGAGCCACTGCGCCCGGCCAGGGCAGCAGTCTTAAATTCTGCACCTATACTCAGGGAAATAATTTTGAAGAAGTATATACTCCTTCATATATCTTTAAGTAGGTATCTAAAAATTTTCATCATAAATTAAAATTGTGGCCGGGCACAGTGGCTCATGCCTGTAATCCCAGAACTTTGGGAGGCCAAGGCAGGGGGATCACCTAAAGTCAGGAGTTCAAGACCAGTCTGGCAAATATGGTGAAACCCCATGTCTACTAAAAATACAAAAATTAGCCGGGAAAGTTGGTGGGCACCTGATTCTCTGCCTCAGCTACTCAGAGGCTGAGGCAGGAGAATTGCTTGAACCCGGGAGGCAGTTGCAGTGAGCCGAGATCGCACCATTGCACTCCGGCCTGGGTGACAGAGCGAGACTCCTTCCAAAAATAAATAAATAAATAAATAAAAATAAAAATAAATAAATAAAAATTGTTTCAAGGATGTAATTCTGGCATATTGAAAATATTCACATTTTATTTATTTTTTAATTTTTATTTTTTTTTTGAGATGGAGTCTTGCTCTGTCGCCCAGGCTGCAGTGCAGTGGTGCAATCTCGGCTCACTGCAACCTCTGCCTCTGGGGTTCAAGCAATTCTCCTGCCACAGCCTCCTGAGTAGCTGGGACCACAGGTGTGCACCAGCACCCCTAATTTTTATATTTTTAGTAGAGATGGGGATTTCACCATGTTGGCCACGCTGGTCTTGAACTCTTTTTTTTTTTTTTTTTTTTTTGTGACAGAGTCTCCTGTTGCCCAGGCTGGAGTGCAGTGGCAGTGATCTCTGCTCACTGCAGCCTGCCTCCACTTCCCAGATTCTAGCGATTCTCCTGCCTCAGGCCCCCAAATAGCTGGGACTACAGGTGTGTGCCACCGTGCCCAGCTAATTTTTGTATTTTTAGTAGAGACAAGGTTTCATCATGTTGGCAAGGCTGGTCTGGAACTCCTGACCTCAAGTGATCCGCCCACCTCAGCCTCCCAAAGTGCTGGGATTACAGGCATGAGCCACTGCGCCCAGCCTATTTATTGATTTATTGAGATGAGGTCTCACTATGTTGCCTAGGCTGGTCTGTAATCCTGAGATCAAGCAATCCACCCACCTCAACTTCCCAAAGTGCTAGGATTATAGGCGGTGAGCCACAGCTGGCCACATTTTATTTTATTTATTTATTTTTTGAGACAGAGTCTTGCTCTGTCACCCAGGCTGGAGTGCAGTGGCACCATCTTGGCTCACTGAAATCTCCGCCTCCTGGGTTCAAGCGATTCTTCTGCCTCAGCTTCCCAAGTAGCTGGGACTAAAGGCGCGAGCCACCACGCCCAGCTAATTTTTGTATTTTTAGTAGAGACGGGGGTGTCACCATATTGGCCAGGCTGGTCTCGAACTCCTAGACTTCGTGATCTGCCTGCCTCGGCCTCCCAAAGTGCTGGAATTACAGCATGAGCCACTGCACCTGGCCTATTTATTTATTTTTTTGAGACACAGTCTCTCTGTGTTGCCCATGCTGGAGTGTAGTGGTGCGATCTTGGCTTCCGGCAACCTCTGCCTCCCGGGTTCAAGCGATTCTCCTGCCTCAGCCTCCCAAATAGCTGGGACTACAGGCGCCCGCCACTACACCCAGCTAATTTTTTTGTAATTTTAGTAGAGACGGGGTTTCATCATGTTGGGCAGGCTGGTCTCGAACTCCTGACCTCAGGTGATCTGCCTGCCTCGGCCTCCCAAAGTGCTGGGATTACAGGTTTGAGCCACCACGCCCGGCCTATTTTTTTATTTTTTGAGACAGAGTCTTGCTCTATCGCCCAGGCTGGAGTGCAGTGGCGTGATCTTGGCTCACTGCAACTTTTGCCTCCCAAATTCAAGGGATTCCCCTGCCTCAGCTCCCAAATAGCTGGGATTACAGGCGCCCACGACCACGCCTGGCTATTTTTTGTATCTCTAGTAGAGACGAGGTTTCCTCATGTTGGTCAGGCTGGTCTCGAACTCCTGACCTCAAGTGATCTGCCCGCCTCGGCCTCCCAAAGTGGTAGGATTACAGGCATGAGTCACCATGCCTGGCCCCACATTTTAAAATAAAACAATTAGATCACCATTTATTGTCCAGTGGAATTGAAATATCATAGTGATGGCCGGGCACGGTGCTTCACGCCTGTAATCCCAGCACTTTGGGAGGCTGAGTTGGGTGGATCACGAGGTCAGGAGTTTGAGACCAGCCTGGCCAACATGCCAAAAACCCATATCCACTAAAAAAAAAAAAATACAAAAAATACAAAAAATTAGCTGGGCATGGTGTTGTGTGCCTGTAATCCCAGCTGCTCAGGAGGTTGAGGCAGGAGAATCGCTTAAACCCGGGAGTGGGAGGTTGCAGTAAGCAGAGATTGTGCCATTGAACTCCAGCCTGGGCGACAGAGCAAGACTCCATCTCAAAAAAAAAAAAAAAGTATAAATTAGTTCTTACCAGTTGGGAATCATTCCTTTTTTCTTTCATCACCTCTTTTTTCCTTGAGCTCCTACTACTACTCCACTTCCCCACAAACTTTATGCTTTTATACTTGAAAGTCCTTTATTGACCAATCTTTTACATCTTCCTGCATATACATGTATATTAATTGAGATGAAAAATATCTTTCTTGTGATTGTAAGACTCTAGTTGTTAAAAATTATTCTGGAGGAGTTACTGTTACAATTATTATAAGAACAGAATGTTCTTATAAACATGTGATCGTACACTTTTTTTTTTTTTTTTAAGACGGAGTCTCGCTCTGTCGCCCAGGCTGGAGGGCAGTGGCGCGATCTCGGCTCACTGCAAGCTCCGCCTCCCGGGTTCACGCCATTCTCCTGCCTCAGCCTCCGGAGTAGCTGGGTCTACAAGGCGCCCACCACCACGCCCAGCTAATTTTTTTTTTTTTTTTTTTTGGTATTTTTAGTAGAGACAGGGTTTCACCGTGTTAGCCAGGGTGGTCTCGATTTCCTGCCCTCGTGATCCTCCTGCCTCGGCCTCCCAAAGTGCTGGGATTACAGGCGTGAGCCACCGTGCCTGGCCGATCGTAAACATTTTTATAACTGTTAAAAAGAAATATTTAATAAGATAGTAGTCTGGGAGTGGCGGTTCACGCCCATAATCCCAGCACTTTGAGACGCTGAGGTGGGAAGATTGCTTGAGGCAAGGAGCTCAAGATCCATCTGGGCAACACAGTAAGACCCTGTCGCTATAAAAAACCTTTTTTTTTTTTTTTTTTTTGAGACAGAGTCTTGCTCTGTCGCCAGGCTGGAGTGCAGTGGCTGATCTCAGCTCACTGCGACCTCCGCCTCCCGGGTTCAAGCGATTCTCCTGCCTCAGCCTCCCGAGTAGCTGGGACTACAGGCGCGTGCCACCAAGCCCAGATAATTTTTGTGTTTTTAGTAGAGACGGGGTTTCACCATGTTGGCCAGGCTGGTCTCAAACTTCTGACCTCAGGTGATCCGCCCGCCTCGGCCTCCCAAAGTTCTGGGATCACAGGCATGAGCCACCGCGCCCAGCCTCCACAAAAAACTTATTTTAAAAAAATTAGCCAGGTGAGGTGGTGTGCGCCTGTAGTCCTAGCTACTTGAGGTGGGAGGATGGCTTGAGCCCAGGAATTTGAGGTTACAGTGAGCTATGACCGTACCACCGCATTCCAGCCTGGGTGATAGAACAAGACCCTTTTTTTTTCCTTTTTTTTTTTTTTTTTTTTTTTTTTTTTTTTTTTGAGATAATCTCGCTCTGTCGCCCAGGCTGGAGTGCAATGACGCGATCTCGGCTTACTGCAACCTCCGCCTCCCGGATTCGAGCGGTTCTCCTGCCTCAGCCTCCTGAGTAGCTGGAACTACAGGCGCCTGCCACCACGCCCAGCTAATTTTTTTGTATTTTTAGTAGAGACGGGGTTTCACCATGTTGGCCAGGATGGTCTCGATCTCTTGACCCCATGATACGCCCACCTCGGACCCCCAAAGTGCTGGGATTACAGGCGTGAACCATCGCGCCCGGCCGACCCTGCATTTAAAAAAAAAAAAGACAAAAGAAAGGAAAAAAAAAAAAAAAAAAGAAAAGGTGGTATTCATGGTGCCTTGGTGAAAGAAACAGGGTACATTTCCCTTTATTTTAAACAGGTAAGATTACCCCCAGGAGATTTCATGGTTGAGAACTATACTTTTGAGGGGGGAGGGGAAAAAAGAGAACTATTCTTTTTTTTTTTTTCTTAAGAGGGTGACTCTATTGTAAAAGGAGAAGTGAAGAATGAGAACCTGTACTGCAGGTGTTTCCTTAGGAAGACCAATTTTGGGAAAGTTGAGGTTCTTGAAATTAAATCCCTTACATCTTCCAAGTCCCAGTCCTCGCGGAGAGTTTTTATGTTCCCCATTTTGAAAGCTGTAGACTTTGACGACTGGAGAGAAGTGATGTGGGATTGTTCAACGGACGGGTGTTTGCGATTCTAGGACTCAGCGTTAGGGATCTAATAAGCTCTGTGACCCTAGTTAAGTGGCAAGATGCCCACCACTTGTGGAAATGGGCATCTTAGCGATTGGGACCCTGTTAATCTTTCTGGTTTCCTCATAAGCTCACCTCTGGACCCAGCCTTGCCTCCACGAGTCCCTCCAGCCTCCCTAAACACAACGAGGTGGGTATCAAATCTGTTTCTTCATCCTTCATTCTTTTTTCCCCTCTCCCCGAAGAGGAGGAGGAGGAGACCCAAAGTATTTTATGAGCCTCATTTCGCCTCACAGCAGCCCTCGCAGCGGCAATTTGCACAAACTCTCCTCCAAGCCCCACCCCATCATCGCCCATCCGCAGACCCTAGGCCTCCCACGACAAAGCACGGCCACCTGGTCAGCACAGACGGCCCTTCGAGGACCCCCTCTGGAGAAGAACCATTCAGGTCCCAACGGTCTGGCTGGTCATTAGTTCTGTGGTGAAGCTTGAAAAGCAAATCAGCAACAATAGTAATAACAATAACACTTTTATGGCGCGTTGTGCTCATTTGTACGCATGTGTTATAACGATCGCGGGACGCAGCACCTGGCAGTAGAAACAGCTGCTGGACAGCGGCAAGGAGCGCGCCGCCCTTGCAGGGGAAGGGGCTGGGTCAGCCGAATAAGCCGTGGAAATGGGAACCTGGGGGACAGGAAAGCAGGGCCAGATAGCTTGCCAATAGCCCAACTGAAAGAAAAGGTTTTACTTCCCTTTTAAGAGACTTCTGCCCTTCCCTGAAACTCTGCACAGCTTTGGAAAGCCCAATTCCTAATCCACCCTGTTCGGTTCCCCTGCCCCTCCTTGGAAACGAGGCTCGGTCCTCCCTACGCGCTACTCTCCGGCGGTTGGGCCCCAGGCAGGAAGTTTCTGATTGGCGGAGTCGTAGAAGCACCGGGTGAAAAGAGCTCCACTGGCTGCGCACCGGAGTCCGGGCGTAGCCAGTGCCGTACGGCAAAATGGCGGCCCCCAGCTGCTTTGGGACGCCTGGGTTCGGGGAGACAAACTCCGACCTGGAAGAGACCGTTGACTATGTGGGCCGCACTGGAGGTGTTCGCGGGGCGGGCCTACTGCCACCTCCGGCCACAGGAAGCCTGTGTTCCGTACGACAATATGGCGGCGCTTAGTTGCATGAAGGCGGAAACTCTGTGACTTCCGGTCCGTAGTGGGGCCTGCGGTGGGAGTGGGAAGGAAGGCGGAGGGAACCATGCGAGGTTCTGAGAATTGCGGCGAGGGTCGCCTCGAGAGACGGTTTCTGAGGTGGGGGCCGGACGGTGCGGGGATCAGAGGCGGGGGCGGGGATATAGAGGGAGAGGTATTGGGGAGAGCTGGGCGCTGAGTCTGAGGGGAATGCTGTGGTACCTTCCTGTCCCTGAAAGGGAGTGGAGCGGCCGGGGGCTGAACTGGGGGAGGGGGATTTGGCGGGAAGCGCATCTAGCGGACCGGCCGGACCCACGGTTGGGATCTAAGAGGAATCGCGAGAGCGTAGCGCGGTGTGGGGGGACTTTTGATCAGTTACGGGTCACCGAGAGAATGGGGAAAATTAGGGTGGGGTGAAAGGGAGGGGACTTGGGTAAAATATCTTCAACCTAAAGCCCCAGTTTGAGGAGACTCATCGGAGGGTGAAATATGGAGATAATTCAAGGAGGAGAAAAGAGAACGGACTGTTGGGAGGGAACCTCTTTCACCTCAGAGAGTCTAGGAGTTGGGGTGATCATTCAGGATAGGGTGGGTGTGGGGTTGACTTGTTTGAGAGCAGAGGGGGCAAACACATGAGGTGGCGCCCACAGGAGTGTGTTGTCTGTGCAAGGGGGTGTCAGGACGATTTGGGGTGCAGTGTGGGAGGAAGAATCAACTTGCCAACTCTAAGAAATAGGGGGGAAATGCAACAGAAAGACCGGAAATCGACGTGAGGGGTGGAGCAGAAGGTGGCAACTTAAGGTGTGGGGGTGGTTTGCCCCCCCCCCCCACACCACTTGAAGGGCCCCAAAAAGCATATAGAACTAATGGTTATTGAAATCAGGTGGTGAAGACAGTGTTGGTCAGGGCTGGATGTTACTGAAACCCAAGGAGTTCAGAAAATGTGTGAGGTGAAGGGATGGGGCTATGCTGGAGGGGCTCATTCTGAGGCCCCATCCCCTTCCAGCAGGAATTCTGAAATCCCCACCACTTCCTCCCTCCGGGGGATTTGATCCCCTATGGCCACCGCTAACAGCATCATCGTGCTGGATGATGATGACGAAGATGAAGCAGCTGCTCAGCCAGGGCCCTCCCACCCACTCCCCAATGCGGCCTCACCTGGGGCAGAAGCCCCTAGCTCCTCTGAGCCTCATGGGGCCAGAGGAAGCAGTAGTTCGGGCGGCAAGAAATGCTACAAGCTGGAGAATGAGAAGCTGTTCGAAGAGGTGAGCTTTAGCGGGGAAGATTGTTGTACCCCAGGGAGGGGGATGGCTGACTGGTTCTCCTGTCCTTTCTTTCCCACTAACCCCACCTCCCCTTTCTCTCAACCCCCTCCCTTGTCTCTCTTCCCCTTCCTTCTTCCCCTGAACCTTCTAGTTCCTTGAACTTTGTAAGATGCAGACAGCAGACCACCCTGAGGTGGTCCCATTCCTCTATAACCGGCAGCAACGTGCCCACTCTCTGTTTTTGGCCTCGGCGGAGTTCTGCAACATCCTCTCTAGGGTCCTGTCTCGGGCCCGGAGCCGGCCAGCCAAGCTCTATGTCTACATCAATGAGCTCTGCACTGTTCTCAAGGCCCACTCAGCCAAAAAGAAGCTGAACTTGGCCCCTGCCGCCACCACCTCCAATGAGCCCTCTGGGAATAACCCTCCCACACACCTCTCCTTGGACCCCACAAATGCTGAAAACACTGCCTCTCAGTCTCCAAGGACCCGTGGTTCCCGGCGGCAGATCCAGCGTTTGGAGCAGCTGCTGGCGCTCTATGTGGCAGAGATCCGGCGGCTGCAGGAAAAGGAGTTGGATCTCTCAGAATTGGATGACCCAGACTCCGCATACCTGCAGGAGGCACGGTTGAAGCGTAAGCTGATCCGCCTCTTTGGGCGACTATGTGAGCTGAAAGACTGCTCTTCACTGACCGGCCGTGTCATAGAGCAGCGCATCCCCTACCGTGGCACCCGCTACCCAGAGGTTAACAGGCGCATTGAGCGGCTCATCAACAAGCCAGGGCCTGATACCTTCCCTGACTATGGGGATGTGCTTCGGGCTGTAGAGAAGGCAGCTGCCCGACACAGCCTTGGCCTCCCCCGACAGCAGCTCCAGCTCATGGCTCAGGATGCCTTCCGAGATGTGGGCATCAGGTTACAGGAGCGACGTCACCTCGATCTCATCTACAACTTTGGCTGCCACCTCACAGATGACTATAGGCCAGGTAGGGGGTTGGTGGGATGCCTCTCAGTGACCCTTATATGTCAGGTATGAGGCGGATGGGGCATCTCTCTAGTCCTTTCTAGGGTTTTTACTCTTCTAGTCCCTTCAAGGGCTGAGTGCTCTGACTTTATGTCTTCCCACGTAGGCGTTGACCCTGCACTATCAGATCCTGTGTTGGCCCGGCGCCTTCGGGAAAACCGGAGTTTGGCCATGAGTCGGCTGGATGAGGTCATCTCCAAATACGCAATGTTGCAAGACAAAAGTGAGGAGGGCGAGAGAAAAAAGAGAAGAGCTCGGCTCCAAGGCACCTCTTCCCACTCTGCAGACACCCCCGAAGCCTCCTTGGATTCTGGTGAGGTGTGGATGGGGTACAGCCTTCAGAGAGACATTGTCCTTCCCCTGCACTGGCCACCAGGGAGTCCAGGTTGACTGATGGGGTAGCATGAGAAGGAAAGCAAGAACCAAACCCTCTGGGGCAAGGGATTCCTTAGAGAAACTTCTTTGTCTCCCAGGGCCCTAGTGGAATGGCATCCCAGGGGTGCCCTTCTGCCTCCAGAGCTGAGACAGATGACGAAGACGATGAGGAGAGTGATGAGGAAGAGGAGGAGGAGGAGGAAGAAGAAGAGGAGGAGGCCACAGATTCTGAAGAGGAGGAGGATCTGGAACAGATGCAGGAGGGTCAGGAGGATGATGAAGAGGAGGACGAAGAGGAAGAAGCAGCAGCAGGTATGTCAAGGGAACATTCTCCTCACCTGTCATTTCTGTTTTGTTAGGCATGAGCCACCTGTTTGAAACCTTTCCCTTCCTCCTCCTAGTGTCCTCTCAGCAGTATTTTTTCCCCCTCATTCTCAGGCTACCCTCTCCCCTTTTCTTCTTTTCCAGGTAAAGATGGAGACAAGAGCCCCATGTCCTCACTACAGATCTCCAATGAAAAGAACCTGGAACCTGGCAAACAGATCAGCAGATCTTCAGGGGAGCAGCAAAACAAAGGACGCATAGTGTCACCATCGTTACTGTCAGAAGAACCCCTGGCCCCCTCCAGCATAGATGCTGAAAGCAATGGAGAACAGCCTGAGGAGCTGACCCTGGAGGAAGAAAGCCCTGTGTCTCAGCTCTTTGAGCTAGAGATTGAAGCTTTGCCCCTGGATACCCCTTCCTCTGTGGAGACGGACATTTCCTCTTCCAGGAAGCAATCAGAGGAGCCCTTCACCACTGTCTTAGAGAATGGAGCAGGCATGGTCTCTTCTACTTCCTTCAATGGAGGCGTCTCTCCTCACAACTGGGGAGATTCTGGTCCCCCCTGCAAAAAATCTCGGAAGGAGAAGAAGCAAACAGGATCAGGGCCATTAGGAAACAGGTAATAACAAGAGGAGGAGGAAGAGGGAAGCCAAGGAGGGATTGCAGGGGACTTTCGGAGAGCAATACTGGGGAACTGAGTCTGCTGGGAGAGACTGGACTGCCCCCCTCCAGCCTCAGTCTTCCCGTACCCCTCCACATATTTATGTTTCTGTTTCTAGCTATGTGGAAAGGCAAAGGTCAGTGCATGAGAAGAATGGGAAAAAGATATGTACCCTGCCCAGCCCACCTTCCCCCTTGGCTTCCTTGGCCCCAGTTGCTGATTCCTCCACGAGGGTGGACTCTCCCAGCCATGGCCTGGTGACCAGCTCCCTCTGCATCCCTTCTCCAGCCCGGCTGTCCCAAACCCCCCATTCACAGCCTCCTCGGCCTGGTACTTGCAAGGTAAGAAGGGGAGGGCGTGTTTCCTCTGACAATTTGTTCTCTTTCATTGGCTGTTTCAGCTGCTCTGTCTGAATATTCCACGTGCCACATCCTGTCTCTTCCTTTTTCCCACCCATTTTATCCTCTAAATCCTCCTGTTTCTTTTCTCCTGTACTCCAGATCTCTTTGACTCTTTGTCTCTCACTTCCCTGCAGACAAGTGTGGCCACACAATGCGATCCAGAAGAGATCATCGTGCTCTCAGACTCTGATTAGCTGCCTCCCCTTCTCCCTGCCTCCAGAATGTTCTGGGATAACATTTGGAGGAAGGTGGGAAGCAGATGACTGAGGAAGGGATGGACTAAGCTAATCCCCTTTTGGTGGTGTTTCTTTAAAAAAAAAAAAAAAAGCTTAAGTTTTACACAGAAACATTAATAAACAATAAAGTTCTTTTCTTACTGTATCACTGTCTTTTTCTTGTCCTTCTACTGTTACAGATTGGCATTAGCTGTCCCCTTGCTCAGGGTTAGCCCAGTATCCCCGGGGTAGTCCCGCTCTGTCCTTTCTAGCCTGGCCTTTTTTTTTTTTTTTTTTTTTTGTCTCGCTGTGTCGCCCAGGCCAGGGTGCAGTGGTGAGATCACAGCTCACTGCAGCCTGGACCTCCCAGTCTCAAGCGATAATGCCTCAGCCTCCCGAGTAGCCGGGACTACAGGCGCGTGCCACCATGCCTGGCTAATTTTTGTTTTTGTTGTTTGTATTTTTTGTAGAGACGGGGTTTCGCCACGTTGTTCAGGCAGTACTTTTTTTTTTTTTTAAGTGCTTCAGCCGCCTTAACGCACTTTACTTTTTCACTTCGTGCAGTAGGAGTGAGAAAGCCAATGAGGGGCCGACTCAAGGTTATTTAGCCAATCCAGGCCCGGAGAAAGGGGGCGGGGCTTCAGTGGGACTGTAAGGAGCTAGGAAGAGGGCGATTAGATCCCACCAACCAGCTAATGGTCACAGCTCAGAGGCGGAGCCTGGGGAACGATACCTGGACCCATCGCCAATGGGAAAAGGCAGGCTTATAGCTTTAAAGGGGAATAAATGCTTCGGCCGAACCAAGTCCTGAGCTCCCAGCGGAGGAGGGGACCTGATCTTTTAAGGTGGAATGTGGCGATGTTTCTTTAAAGGCAAAGTGGCCGAGTCGGCCGAGTATTGCCCAGCGGCACGGGCGGGGTGCCCGGCTGTGCCTTTAAAGGCGGAGGGGCGGGAGGCGGAGCGGAGGCGGAGGGCGGAGGGAGTCGGCGCAAGATGGCGGCGGGAGGGGCCCAGGTTGCTGCTCTGGCCGCCGAGTGAGGGGCGGGGGGGGCCCGGGGGCGCGCGGCCCGGTAAGCGGGGACGCGCGAGGTTGGGGGGCGCCTTCCGGGTGGGAGAAGAGGCCGAGGTAGCGCTTGGGGCGGAGCGGGGGGGGGCGGGGTCCGTTGTGGGCGGAGGTAGACAAGGGGCGGGGTCGAAAGGCCCGATAGTGGGCGGGGCACGGGGGGGGTGGGCCTGGAAAGGGGCGGGGCTAGAGAAGCTGGGGCGAAAGGGGGCGTGGTCGGCGAGAGAGCTTGGGGGGCATAGCCTGAGGGGAGATGGAGCAAGCGTTGGTTTTCAGTAGCAGAGCTGCCCTGCCCCCTCCCAAAAAGTGGGTGCAAAACACCAAAAAGGTAGATTTTGGAATGTCAGGCTCTCAGGTAAGTCGGAAATAGGGTATAATTCCGAAGGAAGCCACTCCAGCCCCTAAGAGCACCTTATTTCTCTAACCTCCAAGGAAAGGGCACAAGATTTGTCAGATACCTGTGTTTGCTGGCGCTGCCACTTGCTGTGTGACCTTGGATAATCTCTTAATCTTTCTGAGCTTTAGTTTCCTCATCTGTCAAATGGGGTTGAGAGGAATACCTACCTCACTGTTGTGGGGAGTTACACAGATAATGAGCGTGAACATATTTTTGAGTTGTAACGGGCTGTGTCGTTATGAGATGTTATCATTATTCTTTTCTCTTTTTCTTCCCAGAGACCCCCCCGGCCGCCCTCCTCCTTTCTTTGTTCCTGTGGCTGGGGGGGTATCCCCTCCCTCCACAACATGGAGCCATCTCCTCTGTCTCCCAGTGGGGCAGCACTTCCCCTGCCGCTGTCGCTGGCTCCGCCCCCACTACCCCTGCCAGCAGCTGCAGTGGTACATGTGTCCTTCCCTGAGGTGACCAGTGCCCTCTTGGAGTCCCTCAATCAGCAGCGTCTGCAGGGCCAGCTCTGCGATGTATCTATCAGAGTGCAGGGCCGGGAGTTCCGGGCTCATCGGGCTGTCCTGGCTGCCTCCTCCCCTTACTTCCATGATCAGGTCCTACTCAAAGGCATGACCTCCATCTCGCTGCCCAGTGTCATGGACCCAGGCGCCTTTGAGACTGTCCTAGCCTCCGCTTACACTGGCCGCCTCAGCATGGCTGCTGCTGACATTGTCAACTTCCTTACAGTGGGGTCTGTGCTCCAAATGTGGCACATTGTGGACAAGTGCACTGAACTACTCCGAGAAGGCCGGGCCTCAGCTACCACCACCATCACTACTGCTGCAGCCACCTCTGTCACTGTCCCTGGTGCTGGGGTGCCATCCGGGAGTGGGGGCACTGTGGCCCCTGCTACCATGGGCTCTGCGCGCTCCCATGCCTCCAGCCGGGCCAGTGAGAATCAATCTCCCAGCAGCAGCAACTACTTCAGCCCCAGGGAGTCCACTGATTTCTCATCTTCCTCCCAAGAGGCATTTGCAGCTTCTGCAGTGGGCAGTGGGGAGCGTCGAGGAGGTGGCCCTGTATTCCCAGCCCCTGTCGTTGGCAGTGGAGGGGCCACATCTGGAAAGCTGCTGCTGGAGGCAGATGAGCTGTGCGATGATGGTGGGGATGGGAGGGGGGCAGTGGTTCCTGGGGCTGGGCTCCGGAGACCCACCTACACACCCCCTAGCATCATGCCACAGAAACACTGGGTATACGTGAAGCGAGGTGGTAATTGCCCAGCGCCAGCACCCCTGGTTCCCCAAGACCCAGATCTGGAGGAGGAAGAGGAGGAGGAAGATCTGGTGTTGACCTGTGAGGATGATGAAGATGAAGAACTAGGGGGTAGCTCCAGGGTTCCAGTGGGGGGAGGGCCTGAGGCTACCCTCAGCATAAGTGATGTCCGTACCCTGAGTGAGCCCCCAGACAAGGGGGAGGAGCAGGTCAACTTCTGTGAGTCCTCCAATGACTTTGGCCCATATGAGGGTGGGGGTCCTGTGGCAGGTCTTGATGACTCAGGGGGGCCAACTCCCTCTTCCTATGCCCCCTCCCACCCTCCTCGACCGCTCCTTCCCTTGGACATGCAGGGCAACCAGATCCTGGTCTTCCCGTCGTCGTCTTCATCCTCATCCTCACAGGCTCCTGGCCAACCACCAGGGAACCAAGCAGAACACGGGGCAGTGACCGTGGGGGGCACGTCGGTGGGGAGCCTGGGTGTGCCGGGTAGCGTTGGTGGGGTCCCTGGAGGGACTGGCAGTGGGGACGGGAATAAGATCTTTCTGTGCCATTGTGGGAAGGCCTTCTCCCACAAGAGCATGCGGGACCGGCACGTGAACATGCACCTCAATCTGCGGCCGTTTGACTGCCCCGTGTGCAACAAAAAGTTCAAGATGAAGCACCATCTGACTGAGCACATGAAGACGCACACAGGTCTCAAGCCCTACGAGTGCGGAGTCTGCGCCAAGAAGTTCATGTGGCGAGACAGCTTCATGCGCCACCGAGGACACTGTGAGCGCCGGCACCGCCTGGGCGGGGTCGGGGCCGTACCTGGGCCTGGGACTCCCACGGGGCCATCCTTGCCGTCCAAGAGAGAGTCTCCCGGAGTGGGCGGGGGCAGCGGCGACGAAGCGAGTGCGGCCACGCCCCCGTCCAGCAGACGTGTCTGGTCCCCACCCAGAGTCCACAAGGTGGAGATGGGCTTCGGTGGAGGTGGAGGAGCAAACTGAAGGGGCAGGCTACTGGGGTGGGGTAGCTTTCGGGAAAGGGAATAAGGAGCACGATGCAAGGGCGCTGTGGCCCCCGGGTGATCTCCCACCACACTTACTGTCTTCCTTTATCTCTGTGGACTTGTATATATTCTGGAAGGGGAACCACAGTTTCACCATCACCCGCCCATTCTACTACTCAACCCCTCCCCCCCAAGGTATTTCCAGAACTAAACCCTTCCTTTCCCTCTGATGGGTACACTGAAGCCCCTGCTCCACAGAGTAGATTGCACATGGAGGGAGGGAGAGGGGGCGTGTTGAACATCCTGCAGTCACAGGGTCAGGGGTCAGGTGGTTGTAGTCTGTGCCTGAAGTCTGTGTTTGTGTTGTCGTGGAGACAAGGCCTTTGAGCCCCACCCTTGTCCTAGAACCTACCCCCTCTCAAGGATGCGCTCTTTATTTCTACCCTGTCTCTCCCCGCCACCCCCGACTTCCCGTGGAAATTCCCAACTCGGTTCTCATGGAGGAGTGGGTGGAGACAAGGAGGGAGTAAGTCGTAGGAGTACAAGGTTTTTATTTTTTTTAACAGTGATTAAAATATTTATTGGTCATTTACTTGGCTTCCCGACAACCCGTGTGTTTGCTGGGGACGCGGCACAGATAGGGGGAAGCCGGAGTAATGGTTTTCGGGCAAGTGGATGTTGGAGAGCACACACAGGAGTTGGGGGGCGGGGGAGGGCCTGGGGTTGGGGAGGGCTCGAACTCGGGGCTGCTGGGTAGTCCAGGAGGGCGCGGTAAGGCTGGGGTATCCTGGTGAGAACTGGAGAGGATCTACCCGGGTCCCTGCCTGGCCAGTGGGGAAACACCGGTCCCCCAGGCACCTTCACCTAACCAGAGCGGGGATTTCCACCGCCCCTCATGCCGCCCTTTGGAGGAAAGTGAAAGTGAAAGGAGGAAGAGGAGGCTAAATGGCTGAGGAGGTCGCAGCGCCATGAAGTCCCTGTCTCTGCTCCTCGCTGTGGCTTTGGGTGAGCGAACCCCGCGACTCATCGCCCAAGAACTAGAGGGAAGCGGAGGGAGGTGGCCCCACTGGAGCCGATGCCAGGGTGGGAGTGGGGCAGGTCACCAGACATACAAACCGCTCCTCACTCGCGTCCCTATACGCCAGGCCTGGCGACCGCCGTCTCAGCAGGACCCGCGGTGATCGAGTGTTGGTTCGTGGAGGATGCGAGCGGAAAGGGCCTGGCCAAGAGACCCGGTGCACTGCTGTTGCGCCAGGGACCGGGGGAACCGCCGCCCCGGCCGGACCTCGACCCTGAGCTCTATCTCAGTGTACACGGTGAGTCTCTAGGGACTCGCCGCCCCCCTACCTCTGTCGCCTCCACCGAAACCCCCTCCTCTTTAGATCCGGCAGTGACCTCAGGCCTCAGCTTCCCCTTTGTAAAGTGAGTCTCACTACGGGGTAGTCTGTGCATTTGAAGTTCCCCGAACGCTGCCCTTCCAGCCCCTTTCCCGGCGGTGACTCTACAGCTGCAACTTCCTTCTCTACACTCAGACCCCGCGGGCGCCCTCCAGGCTGCCTTCAGGCGGTATCCCCGGGGCGCCCCCGCACCACACTGCGAGATGAGCCGCTTCGTGCCTCTCCCCGCCTCTGCGAAATGGGCCAGCGGCCTGACCCCCGCGCAGAACTGCCCGCGGGCCCTGGATGGGGCTTGGCTGATGGTCAGCATATCCAGCCCAGTCCTCAGCCTCTCCAGCCTCTTGCGACCACAGCCAGAGCCTCAGCAGGAGCCTGTTCTCATCACCATGGCAACAGGTAGCTGGGGAGGGGAGGTGGAGAAGGGTGGGTAGATTCTAAGGGTCCAGATCAGCCGGTGGTCTCGCTTTATGGACTTGAGCAAGACATTTCGCCAATCGGGGTTCAGTTTCCTTTTTTTGTTAAGAGAGGTGGTTTGGCTAGAATGAATCAATCTCTACCGCTCCTTCTAGCCCTCACCCAGTTAAAAAAAAAAACAAAAAAAAAACTGCAGCTTGGCAGGGGGTAGGGGGAAAGCAGGGCCGGGCAGGGGGGTTACTTTCTGGTGTTTCGAAGGGCGGGGCTTTGAAGAGGTGGGGTTTCCCGACACCAGACCTTGAGAGACTTGTCAGGTGATGCGAGGTGGGAGGGGTTCAGAAGCAGCAGCGTTTTTTCTCTGCTCTTCCCAGATCTGTGTCTTGCTCTGCACCCTCAGCTTTGCGGGTCACTCTTTCAAAACCCAGCACTCTATCCCCACCTGCGCCCACACCCGGCGCTGCGGCAATCCTCAAAGCAAAGGCTCTTGCACTCTAGCGCGTTGACCTTGCCTGACAGCCCCGTGTAGGGATGTGCTGCCGCTCTGTGGTCCGCAAACAGGTGGGCTCGAGTGGGCGGATGGACGCGGCTGGAGATTGGATAGCTCCTATTGCACTGAAAGGTGCATTGCAGTTTGAGGCCCAGGAGTCAGAAGCTTTTCTAGGCTGAGACGTGGGAGGGACTGTGCAGATAATTCAAGAATGAGGAGAGTCTGACCTGGATATCTGGGAGCTCTCCCTCCTGGCAGCGGAGGCGGGGTATTCCGGGGTAGAATACCGGTAGAGTTCTTAGCTTTTCTATCTGGATTTTATGTCAGCGACACAGCCCGATGGACAGGGCAACCCCAACCAATCCCTGCACCCTCCCTTCCCTCCACCCTCCTGAGAATTACCCACAGAACCAGGGAGACAGACTTGAAACCCACGCTGAAACCCTCACCTCTGCCTATACCTCCATTCTTAGTCTCAAGCCCCCACCCTGGCAGAAGCTGAGGAACACTGCTCTTGTGTAGACAGTAGCTCTCTCTGGTGGGGTGGAATATTTCCTAGGGCTACTGGCTCCACCGAGGTGATGATGAGAATGGTCTTTGCTTTCTGAGTTTGTTTTTCCAACTGTAAAATGTGGATACTATTTCCCAGCTGCTTTTCTTGTTGTGACTATCAAGAGATGGCACTGTGTTAATTTATCCATTGATTCAATAAATACTTTTTAGCACCAAGAATGAGTTAGGACTCAGCAGTTCTCAGTCCACACTGTTGGAGGTTTCTAAAATATACTGAAACCTGATTCAATCCCATGCTTAGCTTGGCCGATTAAATCAGAATCTCTGGGGTGGCCCTGGGTGCCCTTAAGGGTCACAAAGATGATCTGATGTAGACTCTGCTCTCCAGGAGGTTCTGGGCGTATTTGCCACGGATAATCCTAATGTAAAGTAGAAAGTGAAGGACATGCAGACAGGGAGCCCTGGAAGTGCCCGGGTGGTAAGATTGTCTGTATTTCACAAACAACTGGGGTCAAAGCAAGGTGCTGTGCTATTTATTTATTTTTATTTTATTTATTTATTTATTTTTGAGACAGAGTTTTGCTCTTGTTGCCCAGGCTGGAGTGCAATGGCGTGATCTCACGCTCACCGGAACCTCCGCCTCCCTGGTTCAAGCAATTCTCCTGCCTCAGCCTCCCGAGTAGCTGGGATTACAGGTGCCTGCCACCACACCCAGCTAATTTTGTATTTTTAGTAGAGATGAGGTTTCTCCATGTTGGTAAGGCTGGTCTCGAACTCCCAACTTCAGGTGATCCTCCCACCTCGCCTCCCGAAGTGCTGGGATTACAAGCGTGAGCCACTGCGCCTGCCTGCTATTTATTTATTTATTTATTTTTGAGACGGAGTCTCCCTCTTATTGCCCAGGCTAGAGTGCAGTTGCAGTGGCATGATCTTGGCTCACTGCAACCTCCGTCTCCCATGTTCAAGCAATTCTTGTGCCTTAGCCTCCCCAGTAGCTGGGATTACAGGCTTGTGCCACCACGCCCACCTAATTTTTGTATTTTTATTGGAGACAGGTTTCACCATGTTGGCCAGGATGGTCTTGAACTCCTGACCTAAGGTGATCCACCCACCTTGGCCTTCCAAAGTGCTGGGATTACAGGCATGAGCCACCACGCCTGGCCTGCTGTGCTCTTTCTTTTCAAGCATTTCTGCTTGATCAGGGATTTAAGAAAATGAAAGCTGTTGTACTGATGTAAAATTAGAAATGAAATCTCTCCAGGGTCCAAGATCATTCATGATTTTGCTAATATACATTTATACTTGTCTTATCAAATATTTTTAAATGTTTATTGACAAATATGCTTATTTATTTATTTATTTGAGACAGGGTCTCCCTCTGTCGCCCAGGCTGGAGTGCAGTGCAGGCTGGAGAGCAGTGGCATGATCTCAGCTCACTGCAACCTCCACCTCCGTGGCTCAAGTGATCCTCGTGCCTCAGTCTCCTGAGTAGCTGAGACCACAGGCATGTGCCACCATGCCCAGCTAATTTTTGTATTTTTTTTGTGGAGATGGGTTTTTGTCAGGTTGCCCAGGCTGGTCTTGGACTCCTGGGCTCAATTGATCTGCCCACCTTGGCCTCCGAAACTGCTGGGATTACACGTGTGAGCTGCCTGGCCCCAAATATACTTTTTTTTTTTTTTTTTTTTTTTGAGACAGAGTCTCACCCTGTTGCCCAGGCTGGAGTGCAATGGTGTGATCTCTGCTCATTTCAACTTCTGCCTCCTGAGTTCAAGTAATTCTCCTGTCTCAGCCTCCCAAGTAGCTGAGACTACAGGCGCCCACCACCAGGCCCAGCTAATTTTTGTATTTTTAGTGGAGACAGGGTTTGGTCATGTTAGCCAGGCTGGTCTTGAACTCCTGACCTCAGGTGATCCACCCACCTCAGCCTCCCAAATTGCTGGGATTACAGGCGTGAGCCACCACGCCAGGCCTATACTTTCTTAATATACTTTGTGTGTATAGTGTTTAATTCTCACCATTCTTTTAAAATATTATGGAGTCAGGTGAGGTGACTCACGCCTGTACTTCCAGCACTTTGGGAGGTCTAGGTGGGAGGATCATTTGCACTCAGGAGTTCAAGACCAGCCTGGGCAACATAACCAGACCTTGTCTCTACTAAAAATTAAAAAAATGCTGGGCGCAGTGGCTCATGCCTGTAATCCCAGCACTTTGGGAGGCCGAGGTGGGCAGATCACCTGAGGTCGAAAGTTCAAGACCAGCCTGACCAACATGGAGAAACCCCGTCTGTACTAAAAATACAAAATTAGCCAGGCATGGTGGTGCATGCCTGTAATCCCAGCTACTCGGAAGGCTGAGGCAAGAGAATTGCTTGAACCTGGGAGGCGGAGGTTGCAGTGAGCCAAGATCATGCCACTGCACTCCAGCCTGGGCAACAAGCGTGAAACTGTCTCAAAAAAAAAAAAAAAAAAAAAAGGTTGGGTGTCGTGGCATGTACCTATGGTCCCAGCTACTCGGGAGGCTGTGTTGGGAGGATTGCACCTTTGATGGGTGACAGAGTGAGACCCTGTCTCCAAAAAAAAAAAAAAAAAAAAAAAAGAGTTAAACTGTAAAACCTTTAGGTCTTGTTTATTATTTTTTTAAATTTTTTCTTTTAAATAGAGATGGGGTCTTGCTATGTTGCCCAGGCTGGTCTCAAACTGCTGGGTTCAAGTGATCCTCCCACCTCAGCCTCCCAAGGTACTGGGATTACAAGTCTGAGCCACCCTGCCCAGCCAGGTTTTGTTTATTAATTCTATGGATTTTTTTTTTTTGAGATCAAGTTTTGCTCTTGTTGCCCAGTCTGGAGGGCAATGGCATGATCTCGGCTCACCACAACCTCCGCCTCCCAGGTTCAAGTGATTCTCCTGCCTCAGCTTCCCAAGCAGCTGTGATTACAGGCGTGTGCCACCATGCCCGGATAATTCTGTATTTTTAGTAGAGACGGGGTTTCTCCAGTCTGGTCTCAAACTCCCAACCTCAGGTGATCCACCGGCCTCGGCCTCCCAAAGTGCTGGGATTACAGGCGTGAGCCACTGTGCCCAGCCTGTGGATCTTTTTTTTTTTTTTAACAATTCAAAAGTATGTTTCTGGATTTTGACAAACTAAGTGAAATTGCATACTGTTTTTACTCTACTGAACAATTCCATGAAGATGAGAACAGTTTAACCTTATAGGCCTCAGAAGCTAGGATTAAAAAGAACATAAAAATAATTACAAGAAGAAAAAGATTACTTCTACCTGAAGGACCTAGACATTTCTGGGAAGAAACAGCAGTGAAAGTGACCTTCATGTACATGGAGTATTTAGATCAGGGGTCTCCAATCTTTTGGCTTCCCTGAGCCACACTGGGAGAAGAATTGTCTTGGGCCATGCATAAAATATACGAACACTAACGATGGCTGATAAGCTAAAAAAAAAAAATGTGAAAAAATCTCATAATGTTTTAAGAAAGTTTATGAATTTGTGTTGGGCTGTATTCCAAGCCGTCCTTGGCTGCATGTGGTCCCTGGGCTGGAGGTTGGACAAGCTTGATAGATGTTTGGGAGAAAATGGGAAAGACAATGTAAACTGAAGGGACCTCATGACCAAAGCAAAGAGATGACCAATGATGACCACTTCTACTAGGCACAAGAAAGGGGTTCTATGTGGCTGGTTTGTAGGGTGCAGGAGAAGCCTGGAAGGGTGGGTTAGGGGCTGAATGTTCAAATACCTTGAAAGCTGGGCTTTGTTCTGTAGGTGAGAGCGAACCATCAGAAGTTCTTTTGGAGGGCGTGTTATTCTAAAAAGCCTGTTTTTATTATGTACATATTTATTTTTTGAGACGGAGTTTCACTCTTGTCACCCATGCTGGAGTGCAATGGGGTGATCTTGGCTCACTGCAACCTCTGCCTCCTGGGTTCAAGCAATTCTCCTGCCTCAGCCTCCCAAGTTGATGGGATCACAGGCACCCACAACCACGCCCCGCTAATTTTTTTTTTTTTGTATTTTTAGTAGAGATGGGGTTTCACCATGTTGGCCAGGCTGCTCTCGAACTCCTGACCTCAGGTAATCCACCCGCCTCAGCCTCCCAAAGTGCTGGGATTACATGTGTTAGCCACCATGCCCGGAAAAAGCCTGTTATTTTACTTGATTCTTTTAAAAGATAGGCAAAGGTCAGATCTTTGGACTAGTGAGGAAAATACAGGTTAAATGATTTTTCCAAGTTAACCAGCAAGTCCATGATAGTGATGAAGGTAATGAAAATAGTAACAGCTAACATTTATCAAGTATTTTCTATATGCCAGGCCCTGTTCTAAGCACTTTATATGCATAATCTCACTTATTCCTCTCAACAACCATAGGTTGTAGGTTTTAATATTATCCCTGTATTGCATATGGATAAATATAGGACACAAACCAGTTAAATAATTTGCCCAAGGACACACAGTGTGTAAGAAGCAGAGCTAGAGGCCAGGCGTGGTGGCTCATGCCTGTAATCCCAGCACTTTGGGAGACCAAAGCAGGCGGATCACCTGAGGTCGGGAGTTCAAGACCAGCCTGGGCAACATGGTGAAACCCCATCTCTACCAAAAATACAAAAATTAGCTGGGCACGGTTGTGGACGCCTGTAATCCCAGCTACTCAGGAGGCTGAGGCAGGAGACTCACTTGAACCTGGGAGGCAGAGGTTGCAGTGAGCCAAGATCACACCACTATACTCTAGCCTAGGTGACGAGCAAAACTCTATCTCAAAAAAAAAAAAAAAAAAAAAAGAAGCAGGGCTAGAAATTGAACCCAGGCCATATAGCTTCAGCCTATGCCTTTATCAGCTGACTTCCTAGGTATTTGGGATTTTTATTTTATTTATTTATTTAGTTTTGAGACGGAGTCTCACTCTGTTGCCCAGGCTGGAGTGTAGTGGCATGATTTCGGCTTACGGCAACCTCTACCTCCCAGGTTCAAGTGATTCTTCTGCCTCAGCCTCCCAAGTAGCTAGGACTACAGGTGCCTGCCCCCACACCTGGCTAATTTTTGTATTTTTAGTAGAGACAGGGTTTTGCCATGTTGGCCAGGCTGGTCTTGAACTCCTGACCTCAGGTAATCCACCCGCCTCAGGCTACCAAAGTGTTGGGATTACAGGTGTGAGCCACCACGCCTGGCCGTATTTGGGATTTTTTTTTTTTTTTTTGAAACGGGGTTTCCCTCTTATTGCCCAGGCTGGAGTGCAATGGCACAATCTCGGCTCACCGCAACCTCTGCTTCCCGGGTTCAAGCAATTCTACTGCCTCGGTCTCCCGAGTAGCTGGGATTACAGGCATGTGCCACCACACCAGGCTAATTTTGTATTTTTAGTAGAGACGGGGTTTCACCATGTTGGTCAGGCTGGTTTCAAACTCCCGAACTCAGGTGATCCACCCGCCTCGGCCTCCCAAAGTGCTGGGATTATAGGCATGAACCACTGCGTCTGGCCCATATTTGGGATTTTTAAACAGGTAGGTGATGGGATCAGACTTGTAGTCACTTTGTTTGGCTACAGTGTGAAGAAGGAGTTGAAGGAGAGACTGAGAATAGGGAGACCAGACAGGAGGGCTGTTGTAATTGTCTAAACGTACATTGATGAGAACCTAAATTGGAAACAGATGTGAGATCTGTTAGGTCCTGGTGGGGATAGCACATAGCACATTATTTTTGACAATTTGCTTGTCTGTCATTGGACTATAGGCAATTTGAGAGCAGGGACTGCTTGTCTTGTTCACCATTCTGTCTTCTACCAGGATACCTTGAACATCTTCAGTGCTCAATAGTTGCTGAATGAATAAATGAGTCTGAGTAACTCCAAGGGTTTGCTTTTAGTGTCTGGCGGGCTTGGTGATCATTCATCAAAGACAGGGAAGATGGGCATTGGAGCAGGGTGGGGAATGTTGCAGAGATGCTGTTGACTTGGGGTATGCTAAGTTAGGTGTAACTATAGCAAACACGTGTAGACTTACTGTGTTCCAGACAGTGTTGTAAGCACCCTTCATGGGTAGGTGTCTCTGTTATCTAAAATTGGGAACTGAATAGACTTGAGTAGCAAGAGGTATTAATGATTTAACCATCACAACAACCTCATGAAGTAGGTACTATTATTATCATCAACTTTTAATTTTAGAGATTAGGAAGCTGAGCCATGGAAAAAGGAAGTGGCCCAAGGCCATATAAATAAGCTGCAGAGGGGATTTGAACCCGGTCAGCCAGGCTCCAGGCACTTAGCCACTGCACTGTACTGCTTCAGTAGAGCATAGAGGTCTGTGCTCAGGTCTAGGCTAGAGCTGGAACCTTCTAGAGTCAGTAAATATTCTGTACAGCACCACAAGACTGACAGTCATGGCTCAATCATTGTCTTCGCCTGTAATCAAGAAAGGCCTGGTTCCTCAAGGGTGGTGCTTGGAGATAGAGTGGTTCAGGTTGTGTCAGAAGTGGCCTCGGATTCTGCAGTCCCCCGAGCTAGAGTGTGCTATGTGTTCAGAGTAGGCTTCAAAGGCCATACCCCCTCATTGCCCCTACTCACCACCCCTAGACCTCTCTGCTCACCCTCAGCCACACTAGGTGCCACCCAGTCGCAGAGCAAAAGGAGTTTGCAGGGAGGGCTAGGAAATGGTGAGTATCAGAAAAGGTGTCCTCTGAGGGGTGGGTAAACTGCAGTTTAGCCCTCCCCAATAACTGCATTTCTCTATTTTTTTCTCCTTCTTTCTCTCCCTCATGCCCCTCCCAACCCCTCATCTCCCTGTCTTCCTCAGTGGTACTGACTGTCCTCACCCACACCCCTGCCCCTCGAGTGAGACTGGGACAAGATGCTCTGCTGGACTTGAGCTTTGCCTACATGCCCCCCACCTCCGAGGCCGCCTCATCTCTGGCTCCGGGTCCCCCTCCCTTTGGGCTAGAGTGGCGACGCCAGCACCTGGGTAAGGGACATCTGCTCCTGGCTGCAACTCCTGGGCTGAATGGCCAGATGCCAGCAGCCCAAGAAGGGGCCGTGGCATTTGCTGCTTGGGATGATGATGAGCCATGGGGCCCATGGACCGGAAATGGGACCTTCTGGCTGCCTAGAGTTCAACCCTTTCAGGAGGGCACCTATCTGGCCACCATACACCTGCCATACCTGCAAGGACAGGTCACCCTGGAGCTTGCTGTGTACAGTGAGTTGGGGGACAGAGGTCTCCAGGGGTAGAGGGTGGGCACTGGATTGTGGTGACCGTAATAGGGGGAGGGATGATGGATAAGAGGGTGCCTGGGCAAGTAAGTAGAGATAGAAAGAGGTTCCTGGGAGTTAGAGGGGTAATGGGAGGCTAGAAGTTTCCTGGAAATTTGAGGGGCTTTGACATGGGTATTTCTGTGACGCACCAATGGAGAGACAGTGGGTACCCTATTTCAGGAGAAGAAACCTAACCTTCTTTAGTTCTGAGGAAGCCAGCAGGCAAACTGAGGGTCTCTTAGGGAGGACAGTATGGACTGATTTCCCTATGCTCATTTCGTCCTCTTTCCCCAGAACCCCCCAAAGTGTCCCTGATGCCAGCAACCCTTGCACGGGCCGCCCCAGGGGAGGCACCCCCGGAATTGCTCTGCCTTGTGTCCCACTTCTACCCTTCTGGGGGCCTGGAGGTGGAGTGGGAACTCCGGGGTGGCCCAGGGGGCCGCTCTCAGAAGGCCGAGGGGCAGAGGTGGCTCTCGGCCCTGCGCCACCATTCCGATGGCTCTGTCAGCCTCTCTGGGCACTTGCAGCCGCCCCCAGTCACCACTGAGCAGCATGGGGCACGCTATGCCTGTCGAATTCACCATCCCAGCCTGCCTGCCTCGGGGCGCAGCGCTGAGGTCACCCTGGAGGTAGCAGGTAAGAGCTGGGAGCTCTGCGGAATCTGAGCCAGCACCCAGGAAGACAGGAGCTCACTCTCACCCCTTCTGCCTGCCAGGTCTTTCAGGGCCCTCCCTTGAGGACAGCGTAGGCCTTTTCCTGTCTGCCTTTCTTCTGCTTGGGCTCTTCAAGGCACTGGGCTGGGCTGGTAAGTGTCAGCCCTACCCTGACCATGACCTGAGGTTGGTGGACTTTCCCCACCTACTCCCAAGAGCCTGACACCCATCCCTCTGCCCTCCACCTCTACCACTCCAGCATCCCATCCCTTCTCAATCTTTCCCCACAGCTGTCTACCTGTCCACCTGCAAGGATTCAAAGAAGGTACAGTGCTCCACCTCTCTGTATCTTTCCCTTGTCACTTTATCTCCTCATCCTATCTCAAAACCCATGGAGGGAGGCTGCTGGTGTGGTAGGCAGAACCTAGGCTTGGAATTCACACTGATCTGGGTTAAAACCTGGCACTATATCCTAACTGTAGGACTCTTTGAGCATGCTACTTAATCTATATGTTTCCTTGGGTGTAGGGATTTTAAAAAGTTACTTAGGCAGTGCTGTCCAATAGAAAGATAATGCAAGCCACATATGTAAATTTAAATACTCTAGTACTCACATTAAAAAAATAAGCAGAAACAGGTAAAATTAACTTAATAATATACCTTATTTAATCTAATAATTCTGGTCCCTTATCTGAAATGCTTGGGTCAGAAGTGTTTTTGGATGTTGGATTTTTTCAGACTTTGGAATATTTGCATATATTTAATATCTTTGGGATCAGACCCAAATCTAAACACAGAAATCATTTATGTTTCCTATACACCTTATACACATGGCCTGAAGATTTTTTTCCTTCTCTTTTTTTTTGAGACAGAGTCTCTGTCGCCCAGGCTGGGGTGCAATGGTGCGATCTCGGCTCACTGCAACCTCCACCTCCCAGGTTCAAGCGATTCTCCTGCCTTAGCCTCCCGAGTAGTTGGGATTACAGGCACCCACCACCACGCCTGGCTAATTTTTGTATTTTTAGTAGAGACGGGGTTTCACCATGTTGGTCAGGCTGGTCTCGAACTCCCGACCTCAGGTGATCCGCCCGCTGCCTTGGCCTCCCAAAGCGTTGGGATTACAGGTGTGAACCGCTGCACCCGACCACAATATTTTTAATAATATATGTGACCCATCACATGAGGGCAGCTGTGGGATTTTCCACTTGTGGCATCATGTTGGCACTAAAAAAATTTCAGGTTTTGGAACATTTCAGATTTTAGAGTTTTGGATCGGCGATGCTCAACCTGTACATCCAAAATATTATTGCAACATGTAAACAATATAAGAAATTACAGGCCGGGTGCGATGGCTCATGCCTGTAATCCCTGCACTTCGGGAGGCCGAGGCGGGAGGATCACCTGAGGTCAGGAGTTCAAGACCAGCTTAGCCAACATGATGAAACCCCATCTCTACTAAAAATACAAAAAATTAGCCAGATGTGACGGCACCTGTAATCCCAGCTACTCGGGAGACTGGGGCAGGAGAATCGCTTGAACCTGGGAGGCAGAGGTTGCAGTGAGCTGAGATCACACCATTGCACTCCAGCCTGGGTGACAAAAGGAAAACTTCGTCTCAACAACAAAAAAAAAAAGAAAAAGAAATTACAGTCTTGGCCAGGTGCGTTGGTTCACGCCTGTAATCCTAGCACTTTGGGAGGCTGAGGAGGGCGGATCACCTGAGGTCAGGAGTTCAAGACCAGCCTGGCCAACATGGTGAAACCCCGTCTCTACTAAAAATACAGAAAAATTAGCCGGGCATGGTGGTGCACACCTGTAATCTCAGCTACTCAGGAGGCTGAGGCAGGAGAATTGCTTGAACCTGGGAGGTGGAGGTTGCAGTGAGCCGAGATCGCACCACTGCACTCCAGCCTGGGCAACAGAGTGAGGCTCTGTCTCAAAAAACAAAACAAAACAAAACAAAACAAATTAGCTGGGCATGGTGGCACACAGCTATAGTCCCAGCTACTTGGGGAGCTGTGGCAGAAGGATCGCTTGAATCTGGGAGGGTGAGGCTGCAATGAGCTAAGGTTGTCCCACTGTACTCCAGCCTGGGTGACAAAGTGAGACCCTGTCTCAAAAAAAAAAAAAAAAAAGAAAGAAAAGAAAATAAATTGCAGCCCTTTTCTCACCTTAAGTATTCAAACACAGGTGTTTATTTTAAATAGTCAGCACATCTCAATTCGGACTAGCCACATATCAAATGCTCAATAGCCTAATGTGGGTGGTGGCTGTCATATTGGACAGCGGAGCCTGAGAGGACTTTTAGGAGGATTAAGGAAGACAGTGTATCTCCTTAAGAAGATGCAGGAGATACAGCACTCAGCACAGTGTCTGGAGGGCAGAAAATATTAGCCTCATCCTTCTCCCATCATCTGTGCCCATGATAGTTTATATGTCTCTAAACTGACCATGTACACCTCAACTGCCTTTTAATATCCTGAATTCCTCACCACCTTCCTCTCTTCCAGAAAGCAGAGTGAGGGCACTCACTGCCATCCTGTGGAAGCCACCATCATCTCTGGCCCAAGCTTCTGTAGTAGCTCCCTAAAATAATACCCTATCATCTGCTCCTAATCCCTCCAATCTCTCTCCACTGAGTGGCTGGAATGCTTTTTTTTTTTTCTTTCACTTATATAAGGGATAATTTTTCTTTTTTTTTTTTTTTTGAGACGGAGTCTCACTCTTCCGCCCAGGCTGCAGTGCAGTGGCATGATCTTGGCTTACTGCAACCTCCGCCTCCTGGGTTCAAGCAATTCTGTGGCTTCAGCCTCCGGAGTAGCTGGGATTACAGGCACATGCCACCACACCCAGTGAATTTTTGTATTTTTAGTAGAGACGGGGTTTCACCATGTTGGCCAGGCTGGTCTTGAATTCCTGACCTCAGGTGATCTGCCCACCTCAGCCTCCCAAAGTGCTGGGATTACAGGCGTGAGCCACCACACCAGGCCCGAGAAATGCTTTTTTAAAAAACACACATCTTATGGCATTCACCTTCTTGGAGCTCTAGGACAGTGGTTCTCAAAATTTTTTTCTCTCAGGACCTCTTAAAAATCATCAAGGACCCCAAAAAGCTTTTGGGTATGTGGGTTATAGCTATCAATATTTATGGTACTAGAACTTAAAAGTGAGAAAAATTTAAAACACGAGAATACATAGGCACACATTCTATTCATCGTGGGAACCATGGTGTCAATACATATCATGTAGCTTCTGAAAAACTCCACTGTACACTTATAGAATGAAGAAGGCAAAAAACTTTTTTTTTTTTTTTTTGAGACTGAGTCTCGCTCTGTCGCCCAGGCTGGAGTGCAGTGGCGCGATCTCGGCTCACTGCAAGCTCCGCCTCTCGGGTTCACGCCATTCTCCTGCCTCAGCCTCCCAAGTAGCTCGGACTACAGGCGTCCTCCACCATGCCTGGCTAATATTTTGTATTTTTTAGTAGAGACGGGGTTTCACCGTGTTAGCCAGGATGGTCTCGATCTCCTAACCTGGTGATCCGCCCGCCTCGGCCTCCCAAAGTATTGGGATTACCCGCGTGAGCCACCGCGCCCGGCTGCAAATAATCTTTCTTTTTTTCTTTTTTTCTGAGACAGAGTCTCGCTCTGTTGCCCAGGCTGGAGTGCAGTGGCACGATCTCGGCTCACGGCACGCTCCGCCTCCCGGGTTCACGCCATTCTCCTGCCTCAGCTTCCCGAGTAGCTGGGACTACAGGGGCCCGCCACCACGCCCGGCTAACTTTTTGTGTTTTTAGTAGAGACGGGGTTTCACCGTGTTAGCCAGGATGGTCTCGATCTCCTGACCTTGTGATCTGCCCGCCTCGGCCTCCCAAAGTGCTGGGATTACAGGCGTGAGCCACCGCGCCCGGCGGCGAAACACGATATTGTACTAACATCTTAATTTTGTTATAAAATCTCACAAACCCCCTGACATAGTCTCAGAGATCTGTAGGGCCGAGGTTACATTTGGAGAACCCGTACTCTAGGGCCAAATCCATTCTTCTTGCCCTGGCTCACTTGTCCCCCCCACCGCCCCGCGCTGGAGCCACTGCCTAGTTCTTCAGCCCTAGATGGTGCTCGCCAGACCTCCTCTCAATGCTCATCACACACAGGGCTATTCCTTTCCTCCAATGAACCAAACGCCTCCCGCCCACCTCCAGGTCCCAGTCCTCTGTTCCCTTTGCCTGGTCCACCCTTGCCCTCCCTGGGTCGCAGACGAGGTCGGCCTCGTCATTCCCCGCAGACCGCCGCGCGTCCCTCTTGTGCGGTTCACCACAGTTGTATTTAAGTGATCGTGTGAGTCGTCGTTAAATGCCTGTCTCCCCGCGGATCATGGGCTCCTCGAGGACAGGGACCGGCCTGTCTGTCCACTGCTGTAACCCCGCGCCGGCATAGGGACCTAAGGCCCACTGGAGGGCGCTCATCAAGTAGCTGCTGGATGTTGACGAAGGAAGCGGCGGCGCAGCTCAGGGATCTCCGAGTCAGGACGGTCGGCCAGACCCACGGGGTAACGGGTCTAATCGTGTAGGAATAAAGCTGTATTCCAGTGCTTCCAAACGGTTCTCTCATTCCAACCCCTTTCCAAGCTCAATGAATATTCCAATCACCTCTGGTCCCTTCCAGTGACCCTGAACCGCTCAGAGAACGCCCCGTCGACACCGTTCGGGGCGGGCGCCACTACTGGCGCATGAGATGCGCTCAAGCAGAGGGTACTCCACCAGCGAGGATACACCGAGCCGACGGGGATCTCGGTCTCGGCGCCGGAAGCCTCTGAGAGCCGAATCTGGAACCGGATGTGGCTGCTTCCTGCCCCGCCCCCTGCCGAGGGGGCGGGAATCGAGGGCCCTTCGGAAAACCCGGCCGGGATTTCGGTCAGCTACATTCGTGGGTTGTGGTAGGGAGGGTAATCCCGTGGGGATGGAGTGACCGGCTCTCTCTCCGCCTGAAACGCTTCCCGCGGGAGTTTTAGCCGTGTTATTGTTGGGGAAGGGAATGTCAAATTCTGCTCCTGCCTTCCCCCAGGGGCTGGAGACTGGAATCTTTATTCCAGTTCATTGCGGGTCGACGTGGTCTCCAGAATCCCCGAGTGTAGAGGCGGAGGACAGTGGAGCTGGGGACTCGGGCGCCTGGGTCCTGGTCCCTGAGCGTCCAGCGCTCCCCTAGTCCGCGGCCCTGGCTCCTGTCCTCACTTCCTTCCCCTTTTGGCTCCTGCTCTCGGAGCGGGCGGACGCGGGGGGGAGCGGAAAGGGCGGGAGGGCCCAGGAGCCCGGCGGGGGGGTTCAAGGGGGTACGGAAAAGCCGGGGAGGGGACTCGGTCCGGGGCCGGAGACCGACGGCAACAGCGGCTCAGGACCCACGCTGCCCCCACCCCTCCCGAGCAGGTCAGAGCCTGAGCACCCTGCGCGTCCCCGTACTCGTGACCTCCTCCTTCCCCAACAGCACCAAGGGCCCCCCTATTCCACCCTTCTGTTGCCCCCTCCCCCAACCTTCCTGCAGAACTCCCTTCCGGTCTTCTTGACACCCACCCACGTCCCTTCCCTGCCCGGTTCCCCCGCGCCTGCCTGACTCTCCACCCCCACCCCACCCCGTCTCTCCCCAGGCGCCCCCATGGCCCGACCCCGCTGATTCCTTCACTCGGCCATGCTCCCGCGGCCCCTGCGGCTGCTTTTGGACACGAGCCCCCCCGGGGGAGTCGTACTGAGCAGCTTCCGAAGCCGGGACCCCGAAGAGGGTGGGGGCCCAGGTGGCCTGGTCGTGGGCGGGGGGCAGGAGGAAGAGGAGGAGGAAGAAGAAGAGGTGAGACGCGGGTGGTGGGAGGTAGGGGGCGTATGTATTTCTGAAGTCTCCACTTTTCTCTTGTCTCTGGGTCCCTACATCTCCTCCTCCTTGCCTCAGTTATTCTCGCGCCTCCCTGGGTGTCGGCCCGTTTCTCTGCTGCGGGGAGTCCTGGCGTCTCCGTGGTTCTCTGTCAGTGTGACTCAGGACCTGCCCGCAGGAACCTGCCCTGTTCCTGCCTGGAACTTCTGGCTGGCTGTCCTGTCCCTGCGGGTCTTTGGCCCTCCACCTCTGCCTGCCTGAGTGTGCCTACCTCTCTGAGCAGTCGTGTCTTGGTCCCTGTCTCCCTCCTTGTTTTTGTTTGGCGGGGAGGGGTTTGTTTCCACAGTAACCAGCTCCTCTGACTCTGGGATTGGGGAGGGAACCCTCAGATTTCGTGACCCCTCCTTCCCTCTCTCCCCCTTCCCCCCGCCCCCCCGCCCCGCCCCGGTCCTGGGTAGAGGCCGGGAAGCCACGGTTCTGGGACCTGGAGGAAAGATCCTAGGGTGGGTAGAGAGTGGTCATCTGTTTTCATTAGGGATTAATGGTGGTGGCCAGGAGCAGGATTTCGGGCCTCAGGAGGGGCCAGAATTTGGATTTGGGGCCCCGAGGCCCTAAACTCCTAGGTCCAGATCCTAGGTGAGGGCAGGTTGACTGGCAGGGCTGGTTTTTCGGGATCGGTCGGGGGAGGGGCTGGGGCCACGTGACTCTCTGAGTCTACCGCCCCCAACCCCCTATCATCCCACTTCCCCTTTTCCTTCCTGTACTGGGATTGGAGCTGCTACCTTCGGGGGTCCCTTAGGGCTGAGATAGTGGAGGCGCTACCCGAGGGACCAGGGTGAAAGGGGTCCTGAAAAAGACTAATTCTCTGGGCTGGTATAGTCCTTGGCCGGGAGGGGCGGGGCATGCGGCAGTGCCTGGACTGAGGTTTCAGCTACCCCTAGTCGCTGCCTCTGGCTTGCTGCCTCTCGCTTCCCTCTCCTGCCCTTTGTACCCTGCTTCTCTGTCGTGTGTGGGTTCAGCTCTGGGGAGAAGGGGCTTTGGGGGTCTCCAGGATCAGAATTCCTGTACTCCATCCACGCCTCCACTGCAGCCCCTTCGACTCCACCGGGGCCCTGAGGCGGCTGGGGTGGGGCTGTCTGGGCCCCAGTGGGGGAGACCTGGGGTCACCAGCTCCCCCAACCCTTCCTCGCACTCGCTGGTACTATGCCCTGCCACCACAGGTGAGGGGTACAGAGGGAGGAGCAGGGCCTGGGGTGAAGGCTGAGGGCAATGGGGGGTGGTGTGGAACTGTCTGACTTCCCCTTCCTTGCTCCTCCAGGCCCCTGTGTCCGTCTGGGATGAGGAGGAGGATGGTGCCGTGTTTACCGTCACAAGCCGCCAATATCGACCTCTTGATCCCTTGGTGAGATCATGACTTTAGCTTCTCACCTCTGACTCTTCATTCCCAGTTTTCCTTCCTCTGGCTGACTTTCTGGCCAGAGTGCTAGGTTGGAGTTCTGGAGTCCTGGACTCTGCTGTGTGACATAGGCCAAGACTCTTGCCCTCTCTGAATATCAGAAAAATGAGTCTGGAACATCTCCTGGGTCTGGGATTGTCCTCAGAAATCTAGGTGCAGAGTGGGAGAAAGGGTTAGCGATCATCTCTCTGTGTTCTCCAGGTCCCTATGCCTCCCCCACGTTCCTCCCGACGGCTCCGAGCTGGCACTCTGGAGGCCCTGGTCAGACACCTACTGGATACCCGGACATCAGGGACTGATGTGAGCTTCATGTCAGCCTTCCTGGCTACCCACCGGGCCTTCACCTCCACGCCTGCCTTGCTAGGGCTTATGGCTGACAGGTCAGAGTCATAAGGGACGCAGGGTAGTGGAGTATCTGCCCGGATTTCCTAAAGCCGCAACATCCCACCAAAATAGTCAAAGCCACTGAGGGTTTGGGAAAAATGGACAGATAGATCCTCTTCTCCCCCTCAGGCTGGAAGCCCTTGAATCTCATCCTACCGACGAACTAGAGAGGACAACAGAGTGAGTGACCCCTGGTTCTTAATCTCACAGTCCCCTCTGCCCAGGCTGCAGCTTTACCTCTCACCCTTGGCTGATTCCCTTCTCCCAGGGTAGCCATCTCTGTACTGTCAACCTGGCTGGCCTCTCACCCTGAGGATTTTGGCTCTGAGGCCAAGGGTCAGCTTGACCGGCTTGAGAGCTTCTTACTTCAGACAGGGTATGCAGCAGGGAAGGGTGTTGGGGGGGGCAGCGCTGACCTCATCCGCAATCTCCGGTCCCGGGTGGACCCCCAGGCCCCCGACCTTCCTAAGCCCCTGGCCCTCCCCGGCGATCCCCCTGCTGACCCCACGGATGTCCTGGTGTTCCTCGCTGACCACTTGGCCGAACAGCTGACCCTGCTAGATGCGGTGAGACCCTGACCTCTGGCCCCTATGCCCCCTGACCCCTTACTAACCTCTCCTTGACTCCAGATCCTTTCCTTGCTTCCACCCCTTCCTGATCCAGCTCCTAGCCTCCTCCACCTACCATTTTGATTCTCCCCTTTTCCCTTTGGTCGTTACCCTTCAAACCCTGTGCCCCTCTGGTTCCTTGGCCACCTGAGATCCTCAGATCCCTGATATTGGAAGGCTGACCTCACTTGACTATGAACTTTAACCTCTGACCTCTACCCTGCAGGAACTTTTTCTCAATTTGATCCCCTCTCAGTGCCTGGGAGGCCTGTGGGGTCACAGAGACCGGCCAGGACATTCTCACCTCTGCCCATCTGTCCGAGCTACTGTCACACAGTTTAACAAGGTGGCAGGGGCAGTGGTTAGTTCTGTCCTGGGGGCTACTTCCACTGGAGAGGGACCTGGGGAGGTGACCATACGGCCACTCCGTCCCCCACAGAGGGCCCGGCTCCTGGAGAAGTGGATCCGCGTGGCAGAGGTGAGAGAGAAGATTGCCCTACGGTTTGTGGCCATGGAATGGAGAGGCCTCCCATAGCCTTAGCTCTCTTCTTTGACCCCCACAGGAGTGCCGGCTGCTCCGAAACTTCTCTTCAGTTTATGCCGTGGTGTCAGCCCTGCAGTCCAGCCCCATCCACAGGCTTCGGGCAGCCTGGGGGGAAGCAACCAGGTGCGGAGGCTGAGGCATTGGACTGGGGTGGGGGTTCCTCAGAAGGCGGGGAAGAGGGGGTGACAGAGCCAGGCCTGTCCTCAGGGCCACTTTTCTCCCTTCCCCAGGGACAGCCTCAGAGTCTTTTCCAGCCTCTGCCAGATTTTCTCCGAGGAGGATAATTATTCCCAGAGTCGGGAGCTGCTCGTGCAGGTGAGAGCCTGGTTTGTGGCATTCCCACCTCTCCTTGTTCCCTACTGCTCCCCCATGTCTCTTTTATTTTGTCACCACCAGGAGGTGAAGCTGCAGTCTCCTCTGGAGCCACACTCCAAGAAGGCCCCGAGGTCTGGCTCCCGGGGTGGGGTGAGTGACTAGCGGGGTGGTGGGCGTGGGGGTGGTGATTATGAAGGGGTGAGGAGTATGTTTTGGGGGAGCAGCCTGAAGGATGGGTAAGGGAGGCACAGAGGGGTGAGGAGAATGAAATCTGTTCTCTGAGGCAATGAGGAGGGCAAGTGCGGAGGGATGGAGGGCCCTCACGTCAATGGCAGGCACTTCTGACCCTGACCCCTGACTTCAGGGTGTGGTCCCATACCTTGGCACCTTCCTGAAGGACCTTGTGATGCTGGATGCAGCCTCCAAGGATGAGTTGGAGGTCAGTGGTGTGTGTGTGTGTCATTGCAATGATGTAACAAGTGGGCTGCAGGGTCGGACAGACCCCCCCGCCCCTTGCAAGGGGCTGTAAGGCACAAATAGCTGAGTGTGGGACAGAGCCAGATCTGTTTCTGTGCCAAGTCGCCTCAGTGATCTGTAAATGGGAAACTAGAAATAGCATCTACATTGATCTGTTATAAGGGTTAAATGAATTTGTATTTGTCAAGTGCTTAGAACGTGCCTGAAACGTAAGCACATCTAGGTTTTGTGATGGGCTCCTGCTCTATTGCTAGAGTTTGTTAAATAAACAAATACTGAGACCTTGGACAAGTTCCTTATCCTCTCTGGATAAGGAATCCTGTCGAATTGGATACTATCCAGTCCTCTCATCTGCAAAGCAGACTCGTTGTCTACCTGAGAAATTCAATTTAAAGGGTCAAGTGGAGTGCTTAGGCCATGATAGATTGAGGAGGAAGGCAGGGAGGGATCGAAGAGTCAGAGAGGCTGGAGGGAAGTGGTTGTGAGTTGGATGTGGCTGTGTGTGTTTAAGAGAGGGGATATTCTCTCTCTGTGGCCGGAAGGTAGGGTTGGAACCTTCACCCCATCCCCATTTTCCTCGCAGAATGGATACATCAATTTTGACAAGCGGAGGAAGGTGAGCGGAGTGTCTGGGCTGGATGCTGGACTTCCCTATCCATGTTCCAGGAAGGGGAGGGGGAAAAGTCAGGGGTCCCTGAGTTTTGGCTCCTGCAGTTTGAGGGCTCCTTCCCAGGAGTTTGCAGTCCTTTCTGAGTTGCGACGGCTCCAGAATGAATGTCGTGGCTATAACCTCCAACCTGACCATGATATCCAGAGGTGGCTACAGGGGCTCCGGCCACTGACAGAGGCTCAGAGGTGACTGGCGGGTGAGGTTGGGACTCCAGGGTTCTGGCCAGGTGTGGGGGATTGGTGTCATGTCCTGAGCTCTGCCTATTGCCCCCCTAACCCAGCCATCGTGTATCCTGTGAGGTGGAGCCACCTGGTTCCAGTGACCCTCCTGCCCCACGGGTGCTTCGGCCAACATTGGTCATCTCGCAGTGGACAGAGTGAGAGATTCACTGGCTGGGGGGTGGTTTCTTGGGACTTCCACTTTTCTCTGATCCTCCCAATCTCCTGCCACTGCAGGGTTTTGGGCTCTGTTGGGGTCCCTACCCCGCTTGTGTCCTGTGACCGGCCCAGTACTGGGGGAGATGAGGCGCCTACAACTCCTGCTCCTCTGCTGACTCGGCTGGCCCAGGTGAGCTCTGCTCCTGACTCTGACCTTGACGCTGACCCTCACTCTGTAAATGTTTCTTCCTTAAACCTCCCTGCCTTCATGCCAGTCCCATGTTGTTTGTTCCTAGCACATGAAGTGGCCATCTGTCTCGTCACTAGACTCTGCCTTGGAAAGCAGTCCATCCCTGCACAGTCCAGCTGACCCCAGCCACCTCTCCCCACCAGCCTCCTCCCCTAGGCCTTCTCGAGGTCACCGCCGCTCAGCCTCCTGTGGCTCCCCGCTGAGTGGGGGTGCAGAAGAGGCCTCCGGGGGGACTGGATATGGGGGAGAGGGATCTGGGCCAGGGGCCTCTGATTGCCGTATCATCCGAGTCCAGATGGAGTTGGGGGAAGATGGCAGTGTCTATAAGAGCATTTTGGTGAGGGAGCCTTGGGATGGAGTTGGGGTGAAGGATGGTGTCTTGTTGGACTATAAATGTTGTCTGAGGTTTGGGCAGCCAAATGGAATTGAATGTAGTTTTAATTTTGACCTTTGGTTTTGGCAGTTATGTTTTATTTTTAATTTTATCTTCTAAACTCTAGTCTTCAATAGAAGCTGAAATTTGTTTTATTTTGATGGCTATTTTGCATTAGTTGCTACACCTTAAACTTTTGGTCGCCGTGTTAAAATTTCAGAATCAACAGCAGTTTCCCCACAGGGAAGCAGCTCTGTTTCACTGGGCACCATGTGGGCTGGCTTATGGGGTATAGGAAGCCACCATATTGGGTTTTCCTGTTCATTTTAAAGCCTTGGACACAAGTAACATTTTGTGGTTGGGTTCAGTGGCTGAGGGTAGAAGGATGGGAAATCATGGCTGACTGATTGCTCTTTTGGTCTCCTGTTCTGCCAGGTGACAAGCCAGGACAAGGCTCCAAGTGTCATCAGTCGTGTCCTTAAGAAAAACAATCGTGACTCTGCAGTGGCTTCAGAGTATGAGCTGGTACAGCTGCTACCAGGGGAGCGAGGTCAGAGGCCATGAGGGAAAGGCAGACTCGGGAGGAGAGTGGAGTACTTCCACATCTGGGCGGCTGTGGGGGGAACAACTGTGTGTGTGCTTTACATCCATCCCCTGAACCTTCAGAGCTGACTATCCCAGCCTCGGCTAATGTATTCTACGCCATGGATGGAGCTTCACACGATTTCCTCCTGCGGCAGCGGCGAAGGTCCTCTACTGCTACACCTGGCGTCACCAGTGGCCCGTCTGCCTCAGGAACTCCTCCGAGTGAGGGAGGAGGGGGCTCCTTTCCCAGGATCAAGGCCACAGGGAGGAAGATTGCACGGGCACTGTTCTGAGGAGGAAGCCCCGTTGGCTTACAGAAGTCATGGTGTTCATACCAGATGTGGGTAGCCATCCTGAATGGTGGCAATTATATCACATTGAGACAGAAATTCAGAAAGGGAGCCAGCCACCCTGGGGCAGTGAAGTGCCACTGGTTTACCAGACAGCTGAGAAATCCAGCCCTGTGGGAACTGGTGTCTTATAACCAAGTTGGATACCTGTGTATAGCTTCCCACCTTCCATGAGTGCAGCACACAGGTAGTGCTGGAAAAACGCATCAGTTTCTGATTCTTGGCCATATCCTAACATGCAAGGGCCAAGCAAAGGCTTCAAGGCTCTGAGCCCCAGGGCAGAGGGGAATGGCAAAATGTAGGTCCTCGCAGGAGCTCTTCTTCCCACTCTGGGGGTTTCTATCACTGTGACAACACTAAGATAATAAACCAAAACACTACCTGAATTCTACTCCCCTGTCCTTGCAGTACATATGAACTGGCTGCTATGAGTGGGGGTGGGGAATTGGCTGAAGGTAGATGCCATGGAACAGGAAGGGGCACAATGTTTTCTGTCCCCATGAACAGAGCAAAAAGTGAGGTATTGGTGAAAAAAGTTTCCTCAGAACAGTTTCTCTCCAGTAACCTCTCTACCACTGGTCCCTTGCTGCAAATGTGTATAAAACAATTTTAGGACAAGGAAATGGCAGAACAACTTTATGGACAACATATAAACTTGGGAGGACTTATAATACCATAAAGCATTACATGCTGGGATTTTAAGTCAGTTTAAAGCTACATTCAAGCAAATTCTAGGAAGACAGAGGCTGAAAAGTACTAATAGAGATGCCAGGGCTGTTGGCAAGGAGGGTAACCACATTTCATCCTGGGGCCTCAGGTTAGAGAACTGTGTATTCTTTTTCAATTAAACCGACATTCCTAGCAATATGGTATGTTGCAAATGCCCTTCCAAAAGAATCATGCCAACCAAGATGAGGGAGAGTTAAGGGTTGTATATACAGGCAAGAAGTAGGTTTGAAGACATTTAGGATTTCACTTTCAAGAAAGAACACTGTGCCACAAAGAGATTCCAAGTGCAAGAGTTTGAACCTGAGGGGGTAATACAGGTGGTGTGTGTTAAGGTGGAAGGGGCTGTGGGGATATGACAGAAGTGCCTGGTCAGGAAACAGAGCCAGGTGTTTTTACATTTTATTAGCTACAGTATAGATCCTAGAGCTGCCTCATTCCCTCCCCTCCCCTCCCCTCCCCCCACCATGGGGTCAGGCCTTGCCAGGAGCCCCTGCCTTTGCTGCCTGGGCCCGCTGGAACTCCTGCTGCAGCTGAGCAAGGGTCTCCCTCTGTTGCTCTGACTGCCGCTCAAGATCCCGAAGCTGGGATTCGTATCGCTTACTAAGGAGAGACAAGGGAGACAAGCAGAAAGGGAGAAATTAGTAGGACTTACTATGGAGAGTGCTAAACGCAAGAAAGAGATAGGTGGAAAACTTGAGATCCAGGGGAGGGAGAAGAAGGGGGGTTAAAAGGGAAGGAAAGGGTTGGAGGAACTGGAGGACTAGGGGCCACTATGGAGAGCTGTTCTGCAATGGTTCAACACCTCTACTCCAATGGTTCACTTGCATCACAGGGTGCAGCACACGGTGGTGGAATAAAAACTCACATTTCAGCTGTGATATAGTCCAGCCTCTTCCCTACTGTGGCCCGAGCCTCCCCCAGCTCCTGTTTGACTAGCACCGGACCCAGAAGTTTAAAGACCACGTTGGACCCATCCAGCAGGGCCAGTTCCTGATGGAGGGATGGGACATATGTGATCAGAACCATGGCTAGTACAGGTCCCTCCTCGCCCCACAAATCCCAGTCCCTCACCTCTTTCACGATATTATTTTCTGTTAGTTGTGCTTCAAGTTTCTGCCTCCCCGACATGGATTTACTTAAGTCTGGGGATGAGAGGAAAGGCAATTTAGAAACATCAAATGTGCCACCTATCCCCACAATCCTAGTCAGGTGGATATGGATCTGAGGAAGCAGAAAAGGATGGGGGCAGCGGGTGAGTGAACAGGGAAGAGTACTGAGACTGAGGCGGGGAAGTCTCTGCACGCGAGGGCCCAGATGGGGCAACAAACCTTATCTCGGTAATGGCTTTGGGTTGTAAGTGCATTGGGCGAGACCATACCGACCCTGTTCCCTTACCCTTCTGTAGCTGTTGATATTTCTCCACTTCTCCCTGTAGCTTCTTCTGGATCAGCTCCGCCATGGCGGGGATGAAAGCCTACTGGGTGCGAGACAAGGGCGCTGGGTCTCACTCTCTGGAAGGTACCTGAGCTCCCTTTTCTGATCTGGCCTGCGGAAATGATAGCACTCTTGAGAGGTAGCCCTGAGGGGCACCGCAACCTCCCCCCCGTCCCGGATATCGACTCCACCCTGTCCCCAGGAGATGGTGGGCGAAACGCAAGACCCCAAGCCTCTCAACCGAAATCCTAACCTACTCACGTTCTTCCTTCAGTAGTAATAAACCCGGAAGTAAACAAGGAATGCTGGGAAAAGACTGTGCCGGAAGTTTCTTTCTGACCCTTGATGGGAAGTGTAGTTCTGACATGTTTAGGGAGTGGAGTTCTGCTAAAAAGACTAGACTAGGACATTTTTAGGCAAGATGGGGAAACTAATCCAGAAAAAGAAACCGCACCGCTACTTAGCCCCTGGCCCCGGACCTGCCTTTCTTTTTTAAGTCACTCTTGCATAAGCTGCCGCTCGCGATAAGGTGCCAAAAACTGTTCCGCCCCTCTAAGGAGAGCGTGCCCTCACTCAAGATGGCACCTAGAGAGCTTCATACCTGGTACGCTGCTGATTGGATGAAGGACAGAGGGCTTCCGGGAGTTTTCAAGCCGACTGTGTGGCAGCTGAGAAGAGTTTTGCACGTGGATCGCCGTTCGGGTGGGCGAGATGGAGACAGCCCCCAAGCCGGGCAAGGATGTCCCGCCCAAGAAAGACAAACTTCAGACCAAGAGAAAGGTAGAGGCCTCCCTGGGTGGGAAACGAAGTTTTTAGCTGTGGGGTCGGGGGGCGGGGCGTGAGTGCGGAGTTCCTGATGTGCCTGTAGAAACCGCGGCGATACTGGGAGGAAGAGACCGTTCCGACCACAGCCGGAGCCTCTCCAGGGCCTCCTCGTAACAAGAAGAATCGGGAGCTCCGTCCTCAGAGACCAAAAAATGCTTACATCTTAAAGAAGTCTCGGATCTCTAAGAAGCCTCAGGTCCCGAAGAAACCCCGAGAATGGAAGAACCCGGAGTCCCAGCGCGGCTTGTCCGGGGTGAGCGTGGGACCTGATGGGTGGCGAGGCAGGCCGCCTCGTTCCTTGAGAGTGAGAGGGTTGGGGTCAATCCAAGGCTGTCTGCTAATTGCGTCCTCCTTTCCCCTAGGCCCAAGATCCATTCCCAGGCCCCGCCCCCGTCCCTGTGGAAGTGGTCCAGAAGTTCTGTCGCATTGACAAATCCCGAAAGGTGAGGTCCAGCCGGAGAGTTGGGAAGTGCTGGAGGCAGGGAGTGTCTGGGTGAGTTGGATGGAGGCTGGGACAGGTAGCTCTCCTGTGACCCCACTTATCCTGTGGTTCTTCTGCCACTCCTCCCCACCAACAATGTTACAGCTACCACATTCTAAAGCCAAAACTCGAAGCCGACTTGAGGTGGCTGAAGCTGAGGAAGAGGAAACAAGTATCAAAGCTGCTCGTTCTGAGCTGCTGCTTGCTGAAGAACCTGGGTGAGTGAGCCCTAATCTGGACCCCCATTCCCTGCCTTATGGGACTGTCTTTTCTCGTTTTTATGTTGGTATACTTGCTTCATATTGGGAAGCTTTACTGCCATCCTAACCCTTGCTTTCAGGTTTCTGGAAGGGGAGGATGGGGAAGACACAGCAAAGATATGCCAGGCTGACATTGTGGAGGCTGTGGACATTGCAAGTGCAGCCAAGGTGAGCCTGAGGAGGTAAAGGAGCCAAGGGATTGATTGGTGGTGCAGGACAATAGAGGAATGGGGGCTAGAAGAAGGCGTTACTGCAGGGCACTCTTTTTTTTCACTCTTCTCTTTCCCAGCACTTTGACTTGAATCTGCGGCAGTTTGGACCCTACAGACTAAACTACTCTCGAACTGGAAGGTAAGGTTGAATTCTAGTGACTCTTGAACTAAGATGTGTTTCCTTAACCACTTCAGCCATTCCCAGTGTATGTTTGGGTTGCTGATGAGGGGAGGGTCCTTCGATTTGCTTGGGTGTGAGGGTAAGCACCTACAGCAACATGTGTCTGCCCGCCTGGAGAGATGGGGCTGGCGTGGGGCAGACCTCAAGTTGTCTGAGTCGGTGGTCCCCTGCCTTAACACCCTGCCTGCCCCTCACCTCCAACAGACACCTGGCTTTTGGAGGGCGCCGAGGTCATGTGGCTGCCCTTGATTGGGTAACAAAGAAGCTTATGTGCGAGATCAACGTCATGGAGGCGGTGCGGGACATCCGGTCAGTGGCCTCACTGTCAGCGGTCAGTTGGGGTGAGATAGTCCATTCCTGATTGAATGATAGCCTGTGACCTCATTTCCCAATTGAACCACTCTTCCTCTCCCCCAGGTTTCTCCATTCTGAGGCACTGCTTGCTGTTGCTCAGAACCGCTGGCTCCACATCTATGACAATCAGGGCATTGAGCTCCACTGTATCCGCCGCTGTGACCGAGTAACACGGCTTGAGTTCCTGCCCTTCCACTTCCTCCTGGCTACAGCTGTGAGTGGCCATGGAGCTCAGGAACTGGGTGGAAGCCCTTGGGATGACCACCTCTCCTTTAGGACCCCAGCAGAGGGAATACAGAGGGCAATCAGGACTGGGTCATTCTCTCTGTCTTTCTCTCTCAGTCAGAAACAGGGTTTCTAACCTACCTGGATGTGTCAGTGGGGAAGATTGTGGCAGCTCTGAATGCTCGAGCTGGGCGGCTCGATGTTATGAGTCAGAACCCTTACAATGCCGTCATCCATCTCGGACACAGCAATGGTCAGTACCTGGCTTAGTTTTGACTCTGACCATCCTGACTTGCTTTTCTTCTATATTTGTACTTCATGAGTCCCTTAAAGTTACCCTTTTATTTCCCTTTTTTGTTATCTCTTGGTCTTGAGTTCCCATCTTTCCCATGTTTAGTAACCTCAGGCTTAGGTGTGTATTAGCAACTTTGGTTCTTCTTCTCTTCCAGGTACTGTGTCTTTATGGAGTCCAGCTATGAAGGAGCCACTGGCAAAGATTCTCTGTCATCGTGGTGGGGTCCGGGCTGTGGCAGTAGATTCTACAGGCACGTAAGTCACTGGTGGCGGTGAGGTGTTAGGAGTCATAGGTGGGCAGAAAGGTGTGGAAGGCAGTGTGCTTTAGGAGCACAGAGTCTAAAGCCAGGATGCCCAGGTTTAAATCGCAGTGTTACCACGGATGGGCCTTGCAAGTATAGGCATATTTCATAACCTCTGTGTGCCACAGTTTCCTGACCCCGAAAATGGAAATATGAGTGTCCATTTCAAGGGTCCACAAACTTTTTCTGTAAAGAGTCAGATAGTAAATATTTTATGATTTGCTGATAAGAGGTAAAATCAAAGGGTACCATGTAGGCATTTAAATACCAAGAGAAAACAAATTATCACAACTTTTTTTTTTGAGATGGAGTCTCGCTCTGACACCCAGGCTGGAGTGCAATGGCGCAATCTCAGCTCACTGCAACCTCCACCTCTCAGGTTCAAGTGATTCTCCTGCCTTGGCCTCTCGAGTATCTGGGACTACAGGCGCCTGCTACAACACCTGGCTAATTTTTGTATTTTTAGTAGAGACAGGGTTTCAGCATGTTGTTCAGGCTGGTCTCGAATTCCTGACCTCAAGTGATCTGCCCGCCTCAGCCTCCCAAAGTGCTGGGATTATAGGCGTGAGCCACTGCGCCTGACCTTTTTTTTTTTAAATCTTTTGAGAGAGACGTAGTCTTGCTCTGTCTCCCAGGTTGGAGTGCAGTGGCGTGATCTCGGCTCACTGCAACCTCCGCCTCCCAGATTCAAGCGATTCTCCTGCCTCAGTCTCCCAAGTAGCTGGGATTACAGGCACCTGCCATCATGCCCAGCTAATTTTGTATTTTTTTGTAGAGACGGGGTTTTACTGTGTTGGCCAGGCTGGTCTTGAACTCCTGACCTCAGATGATCTGCCCGCCTCGGCCTCCCAAAGTGTTGGGATTACAGGCGTGAGCCACTGCGCCTGGCCCACACATTTTTAGGTTATAAAATTAAATGTAATATGGCCAGGTGCGGTGGCTCACGCCTGTAATCCCAGCACTTTGGAGGCCAAGGCGGGTGGATCGCCTGAGGTCAGGAGTTTGAGACCAGCCTGGCCAACATGGCGAAACTCTGTCTCTACTAAAAATTCACAAAATTAGCCGGGTGTCGTGGCGGGGGCCTGTAATTCCGGCAACTTGGGAGGCTGAGGCAGGAGAATTGCTTGAACCTGGGAGGCAGGGGTTGCAGTGAGCCAAGACTGTGCCATTGCACTCCAACCTGGGCAACAAGAGCAAAACTCCGTCTCAAAAACAAACAAACAAACAAAACATAATATGAGACTGGACACAGTGGCTCATGCCTGTAATCTTAACAGTTTGGTAGGCTGAGGTGGGCAGATCACTTGAGCCCAGAAGTTCGAAACAAGCCATGTCACCCATGACATGGCAAAACTCTGTCTCTACAGAAGATAGAAAAATTAGCCGGGTGTGGTGGTGCATGCCTGTAGTCCCAGCTACTCAGGAGGCTGAGGTGATCCTCCCACCTCAGCCCAGGAGGTTAAGGCTGCAGTGAGCTGTGATCATGCCACTGCACTCTAGCATGGGCAACAGAGTGAGACCCGGTCTCAGAAAAAAAAAATAATAATAATCAAATATGATATTTGTGTAATACAGATCTACTAATGGGAAGAACTGAATTTCTCTTTTTGAGGTTAACATTTTGCCTAATTGATGTACAAAGTTAGTGTTCCAGATGGTCAAATTTGACTGTAGATATTCATGTTCATGCTGATCTGTAGAGATTGCAAGTATTTCATCTTTGAAAACATCTTTTCACACAGGTAATGATAGGTGATATGTGAGGTGCTTGAAATGCTGTGAAGCACTTACGACTGTGTCACTGTGACTTGTAGTGTACAAAGCAGCAGTGCAAATCAGGATGCTGTAGTCGCTGTCGTGACCACTCGGCTGTGTGTTGTAGAGCAAAAGCAGCCACAGTATTAAGTAAATAGTGTGGCCCCGTTCCAATAAAACTTTATTTGTTGGATATTGGAATTTGAATTTCATACGGTTTTCACAGTCTCAAAATATTCTTTTGATTTTTTTTCAACCACTTAAAAATGTAAAAACCATTCTTGGCTTGTGGGCTATACAGAACTAGATGATGGGCCAGGTTTGGCCCATGGGCAGTAGTTTACCAAGCCTTGGTTTAAAGCCCTCATATAAGCTGTTGTAGACATTAAGATGAGTTAAGGCATATAGTTTAGCACAGCGCTTAGCAAAATAGGGAGCGCTGTGTTCATCATTGTCATTCAAGATGATCGTTCTCTCCAGGTCTGGCTGATGTGAGGGGTGGAGGTGGTGTCTGCTTTGGATTTCTGCTGTTCCTGAGGGAGTATCTGCATTTTCCACAGCTTTTCTGTCTGATTTGTATTTTCCTCTGATTCCTTTTGTCATCAGGTATTCACTGGGCACCTGCTGTGGGCAGGGCTCTGCGCTGAGGTTCTGGAGATAAAAGGATGAATCGTTGAGCCTGCCCTGGTGTGGTGCTCCCGTTATCCTTTAGGTATAAAAACTTGTGGCTATTTTTTTTTTTTTTTTGAGACAGAGTCTTGATCTGTCACCCAGGCTGGAGTGCAGTGGCACAATCTCAGCTCACCACAACCTCTGCCCCCCGGGGTTCAAGCGATTCTCCTGCCTCAGCCTCCTGAGTAGCTGGGATTACAGGCGCCCACGAACCACGCCCAGTTAATTTTTTAATGTTTAGTAGAGATGGGGTTTCACCATCTTGGCCAGGCTGGTCTTGAACTCCTGACATCGTGATCCACCTGCTTCGGCCTCCCAAAGTGCAAGTGTTGGGATTACAGGCGTGAGCCACTGCACCCGGCCATGGCTATGGTTTTTGAGAATGATTGGCCAGGTGATGCATTTATTTATTTTATTACTATTTTTCGAGACGGAGTCTTGATCTATCACCCAGGCTGGAGTGCAGTGGCGCGATCTCGGTTCATTACAACCTCCGCCTCCTAGGCTCAAGTGATTGTTCTGCCTCAGCCTCCAAGTAGCTGGGAGTACAAGTGCATGCCACTGCATGCGCTAATTTTTGTATTTTTAGTAGAGATGGGGTTTTGCCATGTTGGCTTGGCTGGTCTCAAACTCCTGACCTCAGGTGATCCGCCCACCTCGGCCTCCCAAAGTGCTGGGATTACAGGCATGAGCCACCACGCCTAGCTCAGGTGATGCCATTAGTTTCTACACAGTTATCCTCTGTCATCCCAGACTCAATGTGTCCATCACTGGATAGGTCACCGCCTCCTAAAGTTTCTCTTGACCTGCCCTCATCTCCCAGAATTTTCCTGTCACCCAGAATTTGACTCAGGTACACACCACCACACCTGGATAATTTTTCTATTTTTTGTAGAGATGGGGTTTCACCATGTAGCCCAGGCTGGTCTCTGTCTTGAACTCCTGGGCTCAAGCGGTCCTCCTACCTCAACCTCCCAAAGTACTGGGATTACAGAGTAATTACTGTGAGCCACCACATCCAGCTTGGCCACCAGCTTATTCAAAGTCTCCAGGATGCTGGGACCACCCCCCCCACCACCCGCTCCCTGTTTTTGCATAATTGTATCTTTTTTTTTTGAGACGGAGTCTCACTCTGTCACCCAGGCTGGAGTGCAATGGTGTGGTCTCGGCTCACTGCAACCTCCACCTCCTGGGTTCAAGCGATTCTCCTGCCTCAGCCTCCTGAGAAGCTGGGACTACAGGTGTGTGCCACCACACCCGGCTAATTTTTGTATTTGTAGTACAGATGGAATTTCACCATGTTGGCCAGGCTGGTCTTGAACTCCTGACCTTGTGATCCACCCGCCTGTCCTCCCAAAGTGCTGGGATTATAGGCGTGAGCCACCGTGTCTGGCCTTTGTAATTGTATCTTTGTGAATGAGTGATTTGGTTCTGCCCTTTTTACTCCATATTTATACCAGCCTGGCTCTAGGAGAGTCAGAAGGCCTGCCCAAGGGTTTCTGCCCTCTCTGGGCCACTGGGCCAAAGCTGTAGCTTGCCCTCCGTGGGCTACCTGGGTCAGCCACTCCTGTGCTTAGGGCTTAATCACTAGTTCGCTGAGGCCTGAAGTTTAATCAACACCTTGATGCTAAACAGCTCTGGTCCTTGTGATCTTCAGCCCATCCCTGCTTTTCTCTGGTCCTCCTCAGGAGCTTGTCAGGCCACGGGGGCTCCAGTGATGAGGCTGACCATCTTTCTTAAGAGGTGTTCTGGTAGCTTGTATTATGATTGGATTGCGTTGACTTCTCAAAGCCGAACTGCTGCTTACTAGTAGTACAGTAGACTCCCATTTGGCACTGGGCTGGTCTTTACCCAGGGGTCCCATAGATGGGTGTGTGGAGGGGAGAAGAGCCAGCATGCATCCTTGAGTTGTTAGTTCACCAAAGGATGTGACCCTGTGTTCCACGAGCGCTCGGTAATTCCTGGTTTGCACTGATGGCCTTTCTCTTTGGTAAAGTCAGGGCGCTGATTATCTTGTCGGAAGTATCCAGCTGGTCCTCTCTTGGGCTCCATCACTGTGCAAGTCTCTGCTCATAAGAACTCTTCAGTTCCCTTCTCCTGGGTTCACAGCCAAGGCAAAAAAGAGACTCCTTGGCCTCTTGGCAAACATACATCCCCTACCTGGCTGGTCCCCCTTCAGCTTCCCTCTCTAAGGAACAACTTGAACATAGAAACTCCAACCTCACCTGTAATCCCAGCACTCTGGGAGGCCAAGGTGGGCAGGTCATTTGAGGCCAGGAGTTCAAGACCAGCGTGGTCAACATGGCGAAACCCTGGCTCTACTAAAAATTAGCGGTGGTGGCGCATGCCTGTAATCCCAGCTACTTGGGAGGCTGAGGCACGAGAATCACTTGAACCAGGGAGGCAGAGGCTGCAGTGAGCCAGGGTCATGCCACTGCACTCCAGCTTGGGCAACAGAGAGACCCTGTCTCAAAAAAAGAAAAGGAACTCCAACTTCTGAAAGTAAACAACTTATGCAGTACATGATTCCTGGAGAGGATTTGGTCACCAACCTTCCCTCCTTCCTTCCAGGGAAAGCACACAGAGGGGCAGGGCAAGGGCCTCCAGTGCATTACTTCACCACTTCCCTGAGTAGGTCTTCTCAAGTCCTTGGAGCCTTCACTTTGTGATTTGTCACTGCCAGAGAGCAATGTTGGGATCATGAGCTGTGGGTCCTCAGTCTGACTTTAAAGAAACCTCACAAATTGTCTGCTCCTGATTTTCCTGACCATGTTTCCCACCAATCCTAACAAACCTCTGCTTCCCTCTCAGTCTCAACACTCTGGTGTTAATGCATTTGAACCTGCTGTGTATCTACTTCCTGTAATTTTTTGAGAATTATCTAGAATGGCTCAAATCCCACCTTTCCCATGAAGCCTTTCTGACCACTGCACATGCTCCTTCCCCTTGCTGGGCTGTGTGCTGCATGTGTGTACAGGGGGACATCACATTTGGGTGCAGCCTGTCGTGTGGGCGTTCCTTTTGACGCCCGTGTCTTGAGAGGGCTGTGTGGTGTTAGCAGGTTAGAGGCAGATGCTAAAGAGACAGGCCTGACCATTCACTGACCTAGCTTTCCTTTCCCTGAGCTTCAGTTTCCTCACCTCTTAAAGGGAAATAAAAATAGTATGAGTTGTGTGCAGCTTAACTGAGAGGATGCCTGTGGAGTGTTCAGGGTGATGGCAGTGGTTATTACTATTAATCTTTTTCTCCCCAGCCAGACTTGATGCCTGGACTTGGCCACAGCTTGCTTGGTAAACCCATTTACTGACATATTAATTGATCCCTCTTCTCTCACCAGGTACATGGCCACCTCTGGCCTAGACCACCAGCTGAAGATCTTTGACTTGCGAGGGACGTACCAGCCTCTGAGCACTCGGACCCTGCCCCATGGAGCAGGGCACCTGGCCTTCTCCCAGAGGGGACTGCTGGTGGCGGGAATGGGTGACGTTGTCAACATCTGGGCAGGGCAGGGCAAGGCCAGCCCACCCTCCCTTGAACAGCCCTACCTCACCCACCGGCTCTCAGGCCCTGTGCATGGCCTTCAGTTCTGCCCCTTTGAAGATGTGCTGGGGGTGGGGCACACTGGGGGCATCACCAGCATGCTGGTCCCTGGTGAGTGGGCCAGGGGATGGGGCTTGAAGTGAATGAACTCTGGGTGGAAGTTTGGGCCAGAGACATCCAGGAACTGGGGGCTTAGTTGGGCTGGAGCTGTTGGACTGAGGTTCTTCCTTATGGCTCCATGCTTCTCCCTCCCTCCCTTCAGGGGCCGGTGAGCCCAACTTCGATGGCCTGGAGAGTAATCCATACAGAAGCCGGAAGCAGCGCCAGGAGTGGGAGGTGAAGGCCCTGCTAGAGAAGGTGAGGCTCCCCTGCTGGAGAGGGTGAGATCCCCCCCATTGCTGGAGAGGGTCAGGTTCCCCCGTCCTGGAGAGGGTGAGGTTCCTCCTTCCTGGAGAAGGTCAGGTTCCCCCCTGCTGGAGAAGGTCAGGTTCCCCACTGCTGGAGAAGGTCAGGTTCCCCCCTGCTGGAGAAGGTAAGGTTTCCTCTTCCTGGAGAGGGTGAGATTCCCCTCTCCTGGACGGGGTCAGGTTTCCCTCTGCTGGAGAGGGTGAGATTCCCCCTGCTGGAGAGGGTCAGGTTTCCCTCTGCTGGAGAGGGTGAAATTCCCTCTCCTGGAGAGGGTCAGGTTCCCCCCTGCTGGAGAGGGTGAGATTGCCCCTGTTGGAGGTGAGGTTCCCCTGCTGCAGAGAGTGAGGCCCCTGCTGCTGGGGAAGGTGTGGTTTGGGGTTGGAGGTAGAGAAAGCTCTCCTGATGTCTCATGCTGGGGGTCTTGGGTAGAGGGGTTCAGCAGCCTCCCTGGCTTCTCTTTTTGGTGCTACCCTCCTGTGGCTCCTTGCTGAGTCCTGTCCCTCTGTGACACCCCCAGGTACCTGCAGAGCTTATTTGTCTGGACCCACGAGCCCTGGCCGAGGTGGATGTCATCTCCCTGGAGCAGGGAAAGAAGGAGCAGATAGAGAGGCTGGTATGGAGCAGGCCCCTGAATGCCCAGGCCCGTCTTCTCCCCCACATCCTCTCCCCACCATGGCTTGTCCCCAGAAGTGCGGCCAGCAGGTGGGTGCTGCCAGTTCCCTGACTCCGAGGCTGTAACAGATATCACTCCTGTCCCCTCCCTCAGGGCTATGACCCGCAGGCTAAGGCTCCCTTCCAGCCAAAGCCAAAGCAGAAGGGCCGCAGCTCCACGGCAAGCCTGGTGAAGAGGAAGAGGAAGGTCATGGATGAGGAACACAGGGTAAATGAGCATTGGCATGGGCCGGGCCTTCCACAGGCTGCACCCTCCTGCTTGTGCCTCTGCCCTTGTCAGCCTGCCACTTCTCACTCTGTGCCTGTGTCCTCCCCGTCTCCGGTCCCCAGGACAAGGTCCGGCAGAGCCTTCAGCAGCAGCATCATAAGGAGGCGAAGGCCAAGCCCACGGGGGCCCGGCCATCTGCCCTGGACAGATTTGTGCGCTGAGCCAGACTCCAGGGTTGCCTGGGAACAGTCTCTCCCCAAGATCACCTGTAGGGAAATGAGTGTTCCCTGGAACAAGGAGGTGGGGGCAGTGTGGCCCCTTCCCCAACTGGGGGTGGACAGCTGTCTCCTGGGGTGGGTTGGTATTAAAGAGGAAAGCGATTTTTTGGATAATGTGTCTGGATCATCTTGTGGACCTGTTCCCCTCCCCCTTGCCAAGCATGAGGCCATTCTAGGATCGGAGGGGTCAGTGTCCTGCCTCTACCCCCACCCCATACCTTGTGGCTGCTGTGGCCTTAGCTTTGCCTTTTAGGGGCCTTCCTCCTCAGAGAGGCTGTCCTCTCTCCCATGTCCCTGGAGATGTCCTTCCCATGCAGCAGGGTCTGGCAGCCTCTGGGCTCTCCAGGTTTGTGGTGTTCTGGGGGTCCTGGTGAAGACCACACTGCACTCGAAGAAGTGGAGACAAGTTTATTGAGGAGCTTGACACCCCTCTTCTGCCCTAGCTTGAGAGAACAACTGCAGCATTTTTTTCTTTTTCTCTTCCCGATGACCATCTTTTGGGCTGGCGGGCCAGGCCCCTGGGTGTCTCCCATATCGCTGTCTTTAGTGAGACTGAGGATCTGGTATAAGGAAACAGATCAGCTGCAGCCAGTGAGGGCCCCTGCGTTGGGCCTGGGAGAGAGAAGGTCCTGTTCCTGCCTTTCCTGTGGCCCCAGGCACTCTCAGCTCTGAAGCCAGGCTATTGCTCGACACCGCAGGATGCCCAGGACTCCCTGGAACCAGGAGCAAAAGGGCGCAGTCCTTTCCCCGTCAGAGCCACCCACCAGCTTCCAGGCTTCCTGCATCTTCCAGGGGTCCAGCCTGTGGGACGTCAGCAGGAATTTCCCATAGCAGCACCGGTCTAGCGGGTAGTGGGTGGCACCAGCCAGCTTGACACACTGTGTTGGGGCGAGGCCTCCTCGTCGGGCACTTACCCCCACAAAGACATCCTCTAATGGGAGAAGGGGTGCCCGGCTGGCCACCTTGAGAATGAGCTGCACAGCAGACGCTGACAGCACATACCCCGTGCCTGAGGCATAGGGTGGAAAGGGGCCCCAGGTGTGAGGCCACTGCTCCTCTGATACGCGGTGCCTGCCCCCCGGTGTCCGAGAGGGGTTCACGCGCCAGTGCACCCGGCCCAAGTACAGAAGAGGCACTTCCTCGCTGTGCAAAACCTGGCCTCCTTCCTGCTCAGCCTCTCTCTGGGGTTCCGTGCTTCTCTCCCATTGCCCCCAACGGCCCCCTCGCAAGACCAGCTCTGATACCAGTTCAGGGACGTTGACATACACATCATCGTCCGTCTTGAGGACGTATCGGGCCATGGGGCAGTGTTTCTCAGCCCAGTTCAGCCCGCTGAGGGTCTTTAGGGTGAGGTTGCGGTAGGAGTCCTGGAAGGCGGCCTGCAAGATATCCCCCTGGGCTGCTGACTCCGAGGCCAGGTCACTCCCCTGGGAACCCCACACGGGGTGCTGTGCGTTCGGCTCTCCCAGCAAGAATAGCGTCTGTACCCTGAGCCCCCGGGCCTCGCGCAGCCCGCCCCACGAAGCCCGAATGGCGTTTCTCTGGTTCAGGTTCTCCGGAGCCGTGCACACCAGGATGAGCAGGAAGGGAGGGGCCCCGGGACCACTGCAAGCTTCCTGGTTGGGGATCAAGAGGCGGGGCAGGGCCAGGGGCGGCCCCGGTGAGGCGGGGGCTGGGAGCAGGGAGGCTAGTGAGAGGCTCAGCAGCTCCTCCCCCAACCCCGAAGGCCCGAAGAGGGTCCAGACGATCACCAGCAGCAAAGCGGCGAGAAGGAGGCGCCGGAAGAGCCTGAGCTGCATGGTGCGGCGTACTCCGAGGGGATCCGTAAGAGCGAAGGGCGGAGACTAGCTCCCCGGGCCTGGGTCACGGCCGGGGACTTAACCGACCACGCCCGGGATGCGGAGGTCTGAGCGCGCGACCGGGACCAGCGCACCCTGGGGGGCGGGGAGAGGCGGTGCAGCTGCGGACCGCGGTCGAGGCATGCTGCGGGGGTGGCTACCTTGTCGCCGCGGCCTCGCCGCCAGCAAGCTCCGCTCCATGGCTGGCCGACTGCGGCACTCACGGCCCCTCCCCCGCCTCGCCCCGGCGGCCGGTCTGCCGCCCGCTTCCGCGTTGCGCGCTCCCATCCCCGCCGGAAGCGGCGTCGGAGCAGCGCGGCAGGGCGCGGAAACCCGGGCGGGTGGAGTGGCACCAAACGGAGTGAGACCGGTCTGTCCAGCCGCTCCCCATCCCAACCCACCGACGTACTCCACCAGGGAGACCACACCCTTCATAACCAACGTCCGCGTTTTTGCCTTTGTTGCTTCGGTCACAGCCCGAAGGATTTTCCCTTATGACTAGATGACCCCTTAAAAGAAAACAAAAACAAAAACAAAAAAACCCAGAGTGACCAAGACCTGCAAACTCACCTTAACTGCAACTGGCTAGGCTCAGCTAACCCACTCCACAATGATGCTGCACACCAACCCCAGGGTGTTGGTCTCTAAACTGGTCTGGGTCAGCCCCTCAAGGCTGAACTGTTTTACCCTCACATTTCTCTTTACAGAGAGGGACATCACTAGCTACATATAGGGAGACTGGGGGGTCTGCAGCATCACCACTGCTAAAACTAATAGCACTGTGTGGGCAACTGAGTAGGGCAGCTCTAAATGGAAAAAGGACCCAGCACTTTAACATTCCCTATTAGAATGGACAGAAAGGACAGGAAGCCATAGGTATATAAACTATTTATTAACAGACAAGGCCTACAGACTTATTTCTTCTTGGACACACCCACGGTGCGGCCACGGCGGCCAGTGGTCTTGGTGTGCTGGCCTCGGACACGAAGGCTGCAGGTAAAAAGAGAAGAGTCACAGGTCATGCACAGCAGAAACAAAAGGTTGGGGAAAAAGAAGAGCGAGTAGGAGGAATGCTGAGTCGAGGTAGGCAGGGAGATGAGACCCCCCACTCACCCCCAGAAGTGACGCAGCCCTCTATGGGCCCGAATCTTCTTCAGTCGCTCCAGGTCTTCACGGAGCTTGTTGTCCAGACCATTGGCTAGGACCTGGATTCAGAGGAGGGGGCAAGGGATGTTTTATCCCCTGACCTCCTATGCCCAATTCTGTTAGGACCCTCCACCCTTCCTCTAATCCTGCCCTCATTTCAGTACACACCTGGCTGTATTTTCCATCCTTTACATCCTTCTGTCTGTTCAAGAACCAGTCTGGGATCTTGTACTGGCGTGGATTCTGCATAATGGTGATCACACGTTCCACCTGGCAGGCAGACCAAGGTCAGATCTAGATGGACCCCTTTCTGAGGCTGACCCCACCCCCAGCCCCCTTCCTTGTCCTCACCTCATCCTCAGTGAGTTCTCCCGCCCTCTTGGTGAGGTCAATGTCTGCTTTCCTCAACACCACATGAGCATATCTTCGGCCCACACCCTGAATGAAGTGAGGGGTTTCGGAATTAGTGTTGAATCTGATTTTTAAATTCCTTTATAGCCTCATTCAAAAAGCTCACAAAGGTAGGATCTGCAATAATCTATTTTGCAATCCCCTAGGTCACCCTTTCCTCACCCACCTTTCCAGATATAAACCGTTCGACAGAAGGTTAACTTTGGGCCGGTCGCAGTGGCTCACGCCTGTAATCCCAGCACTTTGGGAGGCCCAAGTGGGCAGATGACATTGAGGGCAGGAGTTCAAAACCAGCCTGGCCAACATGGTGAAACCCTGTCTCTACTAAAAATACAAGAAAAGTTGCTGAGCATGGTGGCAGGTGCCTGTAATCCCAGCTACTTGGGAGGCTGCAGCAGAATAGCTTGAACCTAGGAGGTGGAGGTTGCAGCAAGCCAAGATCACGCAACCACACTCTAACCTGGGCGACAGTGAGACCCCGTCTCAAAAAAAGAAAAAAGTAACTTTGTTCAGGGGTATGACTGAATCATGAACACAGAATTTAGTATTACAGACAACCCTTTGAAAGCAGGCAGTATCTTTTTTTTCCCCCATTGCTCAGCATATGTAGTTGTCACTAAGTGCCTTCTGATTCTTGCATTTAGGAGAACAAGGGGCCTGCCACTCCAAGCTGATGCAGTAAACCAGGGTCTTATGAGTTACAGGCTTTGATTAAGGTATTGGGCTGTCAGTTCCTCAGAATCTCTAAGGGTCACAATTATTTAGGCAAATCACTGTATCCCCATAATCAAAGTATTCCAAGATCACAAACTCAATTTTGTCAGTGCCCAGAACTGACTGCCCAAGTTATTATAAAAAGAAACTAATGCTTACATTGGTAGCATCACATCAACACCAGCACTAGCACCCATGCCATCTGAACTCATGAACCAAAGTGATTTGGAGAGTGAAGGAGGAACTGAATACTGAGCCCTGCCCCTCATTTTGTCCAACTAGAACATCAGAATGTGGCCCTATTTGGAAATAAGGTCGTTACGGAAATAATTAGGTAAAATGACGTTATATTTGATTAGGGTGGGCTCTAGATCCAATGACAAATCATGAGAGAGACACGAAGAGGACCATGAGATGACAGCAACAGATTGGAGTAATGCAGCTACAAGCCAAGGAACACTAAGGATTACTGACAACCACCAGAAGACAGGAAGAGGCAAGGTAGGATTCTTAAGTGCCTCCAGCGCCAAGAGTAATTTTCTGCTTAGTTTATATGAACTTGTTACAGTAGGCTCCAGGAAACTAAAACAAATGGCAGTTCCTATCTGCAAGAAAGAGATCAAGGGTTGGCTTCACCGTGGCTCATGCCTATATGCCTGTAATCCCAGCACTTTAGGAGGCTGAGGCTGGAGGATCACTGAGCCCAGGAGTTCAAGACCAGCCTGGACAACACAGCAAGATCCAGATTAGCCAGATGTGGTGGTGCACACCTGTAGCCCCAACTACTTGGAAAGTTGAGGTAGGAGGATTGACTTGAGCCCTGGAGGTCGAGGCTGCAGTGAAGAGTGATTCCGCCACTCCAGCCTGGGCGACAGTCTCAAAAAATAAATGTGGCTGGGTGCAGTGGCTCACGCCTATAATCCCAGCACTTTGGGAGGCTGAGGTGGGTGGATCACCTGAGGTCAGAAGTTTAAGACCAGTTTGACCAACATGGTGAAACCCCATCTCTTCTAAAAATACAAAAATTAGCTGGGCGTGTGCCTGTAATCTCAGCTACTTGGGAGGCTGAGGTTGCAGTGAGATAAGATTGCACCATTGCACTCCGGCCTGGGTGACGGGGTGAGACTCTGTCTCGGGATAAATAAATAAACATGACCAAGGGTCAAATTATTAGGTTGATTCAGAAGAGAGCAGGGTCTTTCAAATTTATTAATTAAATGACGAGGTTTCACCATGTTGACCAGGCTGGTCTCGAACTCCTGACCTCAGGGGATCCGCCCACTTCAGCCTCCGAGTGAGCCACTGCACTAAGCCTCAAATTTAATTATATGTTTACAAGTGAAAAGATTTACTTCAAAATGGGTGTGGGAAGAGATATAGATGAAATAAGATTTCTAATTTTTAGTTAGATACATCCATGAAGGTTATTCTCTATTACACTTATGAATGCTGCACCTCTACTTAAGCCTCACAGCCGGTCTCTGAAATAAGTACAGTATTTCACACTGCCTTATTAGTTTCACAGAGCACCCAACAGAAGGAATTTCCCTCTACAAATTCCTCAACAGAGCCAACAGTATCCCTACTACTATCCATTCCCTAACGTCGCCTAAGTACCTACCATGCAACAGAAGCCAAGAAGACAGGCCTAGCCCTGCACGCATGGACACATACTGGTAGGCTATTTCCACAACTAACTACACATTCTGACTTAAGGGAAAAAAAAAGAACGTTATGTATCTAGAAAGCCAAGAATTCATTAGGTTTGTGGAGAGAAATACTCAAGTGAAATAATATTCTTGCATTCATTGATTCGATTCTTAAAAGCCAAAGAAAGATGGATGTACTCCTTCACACTTCGACAGGAAAGGAGTGTCAATTATGGCTCATCTGAGTAAATGTCCCACTCAGACTTCTTCCACCCTCCATCTACAGGCTTCTTCACACTTTTTATCTGTTGGTATTTCTACTTATCCCTCAAGATGCCCAATAATCCTCCAATTCTCAGGGAATATAAATTTCGCAGGAAGGGTTGCTGTTATGATGGTGGGATGGGTAAAGAAACCGAATCTAGAAGAAATCTCACAAGCTCGTGGTTCAGGAAAATCTTAGCGAATTCGGGTGAGCAACCATACCTCCTCCCCACTTCCCCAGGTGAAATGTTTTGGCTTGACCTTAGACCACTATCTTGGCTTTAATCACTTATTTTCTGTGGTAAATGCTAAAGGGGTCAGTCTCTCCCTAAACCACTTTCTTTTCTTAATCCAGCAGTCAAGGTGATCTGGATGAGACTCAAGTCTCCCCAGCCTTGCTTCATTTTTGCTTATGTCTTCACAACCCAATTCTCATTTACATTCCCTATTCCTTACCCTACTTCACTTACCTTAATGGCAGTGATGGCAAAGGCTATTTTCCGCCGCCCATCGATGTTGGTGTTGAGTACTCGCAAAATATGCTGGAACTTTTCAGGGATCACTAGAGACTAGTTGAAAAAGTACGGGGGAAGAAATCAGACACAGTAAACTATCAAACAGTAAGGCCGATAAGGCAAACGAACTTCATACAAAAAGGTTAAGCCTGTCACACAAGTGGCAAGACACCCGCCCCCCATTCCTTAGGTTTTCACACCACAGAGCAAACTCCTCAGTCCTGCAGAGTAGGCACATGAAGCGTTCAAGCTTGGGAAAATGCAACCTCTGGAGAGAGGAAGCAGGTCTCCTGCCCATTCCCAAAAGTGCGTGGCAAAAGCCAGAGTTCCCCATATACGCCCAAGCCTTAGACAGCTTTCGTGCGCCCGAGCAGTGACCCTTCCTCGGGCCCGCTCTCCGGAATTGGAAATCTTTGGTGTCCCTTTCCAGGGACGCGATCCAAGGCTCCATACAGAAAGTCGCAGGCCCTCAGGGCAGGACGTTTCCAGAACCCTGACAGCCGGCTTTCCTTGCCCGAGCTGCGATGCCGCTGGATCACGGCACGGATTCCAGTCTTACCATGGCTGCAGCACAAGCGGCGGCGTGTAGGCCTCCTGTGGAAGAGAGAGCGGAAGTGACGCGATATCATTATATAGCTTCCAGGAGGAAGAGGCGGTGCGATCTAGGAGAAGTGCTTCCGGAAACTGTTTCAGCGCGACCTGGCTGGATTTATGAGAGTATGGCTTGGGTACCACAACTTCCGGTGCGCCTTTCTTTACAGTTCGTAAGGTTCATAGGTAAGAGAACAGCGAAGGTTCCGGGGCTAGTTTGTGTTTCAGACTTCCATATTTCCATTTGCAGTTGGGTGAAGTGGTTAGAGCTGAAAGGGGACAGCTGGAGTCAAACAACTTAACTCAAATATCTGGGAACGATTTCGCGCTGAGGAAGACCCTTTGGGACTTGTAGCTCCACTCCGGGGAACGGACTCGCCGGGACTGACAGTTGCCGGAAGTGAGGCTGCGGGGAATGGCCGCCGCTGCGACCATGGCGGCTGCGGCCCGGGAACTGGTGTTGCGGGCTGGGACCTCAGATATGGAGGAGGAAGAGGGCCCGCTGGTGAGAGCGCGGAGCTGTTTCTCCTCCGTAGTTCCGGTGCTCCTAGCTTCAGAAAGACCTGAGCTGGGTTTAGGCACAAGGGTGGGAACTTGGCTGCTACCCGTGATATTACCTGTTTGGCTCCCCGTACCCTTCCCTGTGATCAGACCCGACCCTGAGCGGGACCCTAGTGGCTGAAACTCATGTTCTGGGGCACAAAATTTCAACTTCACTCCACATTTTGGGGTAGAGTCACGAAGTAGTATAGTGTAAAGGTTAAGAACATGGCCTCTGAAGCCAGACTGCCTGAGTTCTATCTCTGCCACTTACACGCTGTGTGCCCTTGGGCAAGTTAACCAGCTTCTCTGTGCCATCATTTCTCACACCTTTAAGGTGAGGAAGATAGAACCTATTGTATACATCGTCGTTAGGATTAGATGAATATGTGTAAGATTGCACCTGGCATGCAGGTAAACACTATGTGTTTTGACATTTCTAGAAAGCCTGGGGTTCCCCAGAGGTGTGATAGAACACCCAAGATGGCAGGAGTCTGAGGGTCTTAAATTTAAGTGCAAGTTCTGCTCTATCCTCTGCAATTCCTAGCTTTCCTCATTCGGTCATCTCCACTGCACTTTTTTTTTTTTTTTTTTTTTTTTGAGACGGAGTCTTGCTCTGTCGCCCAGGCTGGAGTGCAGTGGCGCGATCTTGGCTCACTGCAAGCTCCACCTTCCGGGTTCACGCCATTCTCCTGCCTCAACCTCCCAAGTAGCTGGGACTACAGGCGCCCGCCACCGCGCCCGGCTAATTTTTTGTATTTTTTAGTAGAGACGGGGTTTCACTGTGTTAGCCAGGATGGTCTCGATCTCCTGACCTCGTGATCTTCCCACCTCGGCCTCCCAAAGTGCTGGGATTACAGGCGTGAGCCACTGCGTCCGGCCTCCACTGCACTGTCTTGTCTTTTACCTTTTTTTGTTTTCTTTAGACGGGTTTCCCTGTGTTACCCAGGTTGACCTTGAACTCCTGATCTCCTCAAACAATCTTCCCGTCTCAGCTTCTAAGTAGTTGGGACTACAAGGAGCCCACCACCATGCTGGGCTACCTCCACTGTCTCACTGGATCGTCTCACTCCTTGTCGTATTCCTTACCCATCAGCACAAAATAGGAGAGTGGGTACAACGTGAGACTCTTAGAATTTTTCAAAGCAGTACCTGTGGCTCCCAGTAAAAGCAGCTCCTTCTCACTTGAAGGACTGGGGATATCCAATTATATTTTTTCTTTCTGTCTTTCACCGTACCCTACTCCCATTAACTTATCCCTTTCCAGGCGGGTGGTCCTGGGCTCCAGGAACCACTGCAACTTGGGGAGTTGGATATCACTTCTGATGAATTCATCCTGGATGAAGTGGATGGTAAGCGATGGCATGGGGTGGGTGCAGTACCTGTAATCTGAGAGGCATGGGGGCTGGAAGGAATAAGGTAGGGATTGGTGTGCAGATACTCAATGTGGGGAGAGGGAGCTGTGGAGCTGGACCCTTATGATAAACTTCTATTTCCAGTTCACATTCAGGCAAATCTGGAGGATGAGTTAGTAAAGGAAGCTCTTAAAACGGTGAGGCTTTCCCCTGTACTAATCTGCCCTTCTATCTATTCTACCCCAAAAGGAAAAACAACAGTCTCTTGCTTTTGTTGTATCAGCCTGGTATCTGACCCTTTAGTCCTTCACTGATTCTGTTACAGTGTCCCTTTACTGAGACTTCCTTCTGACCTGTCATCTTTATGTTCTCCCAGGGTGTAGATCTCCGTCACTATTCAAAGCAAGTTGAGCTGGAGCTACAGCAGATTGAACAGAAATCCATTCGGGATTGTATCCTCCAGCAGAGGGAAGGGGTGGTGCTATTGACATGGGGATTTTGTGGCGTGTGGTACAGATGTCCCAGCTGGGGTCAACATCTCTGAGGTTTCTATCACTTCAAAGAGAAATTGGAGAGGTACTACAAATCTGAGGATCTCCCATCTTCACCATGAGGCCCCTTGACTTTTTGTGGATCAGATATTCAAGAGAGTGAGAATATAGCATCTCTACACAACCAGATCACAGCCTGTGATGCTGTCCTGGAGGTTAGTAATCATGACCTGTGACCCCTAATAGCTACTCTGAACCAGATCATGGACTCTGGTGCCATTTTTAGGTCATCAGCCTCAAGATGGGGACAGGTTAGGGTCATTTTCAAGATGACTTCAGGAGCCTTTTTTGTTATTACTGCCATATTTAATGTTATTTCCTGATAATCTGGGGTGTCTCATCATCTGCCACCCTCAAGGACTGATAAATACTGAAGACTTCACAAAGAGTCTTTGGTGGCCCACTTATCCCCTACAAACCCTATAGCACTCCGGCAACATCTACCCTCCCTACAGCGAATGGAGCAGATGTTGGGAGCTTTTCAGAGTGACCTCAGCTCCATCAGCTCTGAGATCCGGACACTGCAGGAACAGTCAGGAGCCATGAACATTCGACTTCGAAATCGCCAGGCAGTTCGGGGGAAACTTGGGGAGCTTGTTGATGGTCTGGTGGTGCCTTCTGCTCTGGTCACGTGAGTTACCAGTTTGAAGGGTTATAATGTCCATAGCAGGTGGATGGGCTGGGGTGACCCACCCTATTTACCATATGGGTCTCCTGGCTCCAGGTTAAGTGCTTTTTAGAAATTAGTAGCCAGGTTAACCACCATTTCTTTAGGTATGCATTAGGCATCAAAGATTAAGATTAAGAATGATGTAAGATCAGGTGTATAGTGGGGAGGTCCAGGAATAGAAAACTTTGTACATGTGTCCTGACTATATGGTACAATGCAAGGTGGTAGAGATGACAGGGGCTGGAGGTAAGGAGTGTGGTCTGGGTCTGGTTTAGGGATGTCTGGGTCTCCCTTGTAACTCATCCCACCCCTCCCTGCTAACCAGGGCAATTCTGGAGGCTCCAGTGACAGAGCCCAGGTTCTTGGAGCAGCTACAGGAGCTGGATGCCAAGGCAGCCGCAGTCAGAGAGCAGGAAGCTAGAGGCACAGCAGCCTGCGCAGATGTCAGAGGCGTGCTCGATCGGCTCCGGGTCAAGGTGGGAAGTAGGGATGGATACCCTGGAGGCTACTGGAAGCAGCCTTCCCAAGATCTTCACTATGGATTTCCTTGGCAGAGCTCACTGTAGCCTGTCTCCAGGGACTTCACCCTGCCTTTTCTGGGCAGCCCCATTCTTGTCTCTCTGGGTTTCCCTGAAAATCTTGAGAAATACCAAAGAGATATTCACCACCCTTCTGCCTATGTTTACCATTTGTTGCTTCCCCCAGTTCCTCTCATACAGCAAAAGGGTTGCAGCTTCATGCCCTGTGTTTGGTTCCCCACATCTAGGCAGTGACGAAGATCCGAGAGTTTATCCTCCAGAAGATTTATTCCTTCAGGAAACCCATGACCAACTATCAGATCCCCCAGACGGCCCTGCTGAAGTACAGGTCACAACCCCAAGGAAGTGCATGGGATGGCCTTTGAGTTTTTGAGCGGCCTAGTGTGGGCATCTGGTTTCTTGGGAGACAGGTAGACTGACATGTTCCTGACCCCCTAGGTTCTTCTATCAGTTTCTGCTGGGCAATGAACGAGCAACAGCAAAGGAGATCAGGGATGAATATGTGGAGACGCTGAGCAAGATTTACCTGTCTTACTACCGCTCTTACCTGGGGCGGCTCATGAAGGTGCAGGTAAGGTCAGGAGGGAGAGGTATTCCTGGGCACATGGACTGGGAGGAGGGGACATCCCTGGGCAAGGAATATTTTATTGTGTTGTGGGAAGAGACGGTTATCAGTTCTCTTTTCTCTTTCCTTAGTATGAGGAAGTCGCTGAGAAAGATGATCTAATGGGTGTGGAAGATACAGCAAAGAAAGATATCCTAGTACTGGGGAACCCTCATGCCAGGCCTTGAGAGTGGGAGGACTTTCGACTCCAGCCACCAATGCACTGCTCCTTACCTTTTCCTATGGGACTGAAACCTTTTAGAATGTGATGAAAGCTATAGCCTCCCTCCCCAGAAAGATGCACACATTATTTTGACACATAGTTTTGCATATGATTGCAAGGGAGGGAGAGACACCCTGAAGCCCATTCACAGATGTCAGCACGTGGGGCCCTAGTACTGGGAAAGAGGGCTGGCTAGGCCACGTCTGCCTGTCTGGGGTCCCCACAGATAGTGAGTCTTTGGGCCCAGTTATGGTCTCATTGTTTTCCCTGACTCTGACCCATCTTACGATTCTTCTCAAAGCCATCGCTCCGCAGCAGGAACACCATTTTCACCCTAGGAACCCGCGGCTCTGTCATCTCCCCCACTGAACTTGAGGCCCCCATCCTGGTGCCTCACACAGCGCAGCGCGGAGAGCAGAGGGTATGAGGAGGAACAAGCTTCAGTCACGAAAGAGGCTCTGAGCACGGTGGGGAGGGAAGGCCAGACCTCAGGGCAGAGCTTCCCAACCTGCAGGCCCTGTCTTAATCCCCTTAGACTTGGGAGTGGCCTTCTCCAATCACTCCAGCCTGCTGTGATGTGAAAAGAGCTGGGAACCATTGACTTAAGGGCATGCAGAGGGGAGAGACTGGATGAGGGGAATGACAGTCAGAGGCAGGTGTTGAGGTGGATGCAGGAGTAGCAACAGCAGGTGGGTGTAGGCCCTTTTTGTACCCCTATGTTCCCCCACCTTTTCAGTGCCCATTCAGCTTGCTCTTAGACAGCCCGGACCTAGATAGATGCGAAGGGTCTGCCTAGCTCTTATTACTCAGGTTTACTGATTTTCCAGCCATATCCATGGGAAGTCAGTGTTGGGGTCCATCCCTTCTGTTTTTCTTCTTTACTCCTCCTCTCCCAGTATCCATTTGAGGCCCTCTTCCGCAGCCAGCACTACGCCCTCCTAGACAATTCCTGCCGCGAATACCTTTTCATCTGTGAATTTTTTGTTGTGTCTGGCCCAGCTGCACACGACCTGTTCCATGCTGTCATGGGCCGTACACTCAGCATGACCCTGGTAAGACTCCTGTTTCCTGTACCATTCAACACCTTTGTCCCCAGTCTTCATCAGCAGCATAGTGGGGTCATGACTCTGGTAGAACTGAAATCAGGATCGCCTCATTCTAAAATGTCTAAGCCTTGGCTGGGCGTGGTAGTGCACACCCATAATCCCAGCACTTTGGGAGTCCAAGGCAGTAGGATTGCCTGAGCTCAGGAGTTTGAGACCAGCCTGGGCAACAACCTCATCTCTACAAAAAATGAAAAATTAGCCGGGTGTGTGTTGATGTGTGCCTGTGGTCACAGCTACTAAAGATGCTGAGGTGGAAGGATTGCTTGAGCCCAGGAGGTCAAGGCTGCAGTGAGCCATGCACTCCAGAGTGAGACCTGTCTCAAAAAAAAAAAAAAAAAAAAATAGCCAGGTGCAGTGGCTTACGCCTGTAATCCCAGCACTTTGGGAGGCTGAGGCGGGAGGATCACAAGGTCAGGAGTTTGAGACCAGCCTGACCAACATGATGAAACCCTGTCTCTACTAACAGTACAAAAATTAGCCAGGTGTGCGCGGCCTGTAATCCCAGCTACTCGGGAGGCTGAGGCAGGAGGATTGCTTGAACCTGGGAGGAGGAGATTGCAGTGAGCCAAGATTGCGCCATTGCACTCCAGCCTGGGTGACAGAGCGAGACTCCATCTCAAAAAAAAAACTTGTTACTTAGACTTGTCACAGTGTTACTCCCCCATGAAATCCTCAGTGCGTAGGGTCCCTGAGACTACCCCTACTGCTGACCCACAATCAGGCAATAGCACGTGAAAACTGAGGGTCCCCCAAATCTTGGTGCTCAAACCCCTGACCCAAGCTCAGCCCTGAACTCTGCTGTGATAGGCTTGTGATCATAGATCCTGGTGTGGCCAGGTGCAGTGGCTTATGCCTGCAATCCCAGTACTTTGGGAGACCAAGGCAGGAAGGTTGCTTGAGGCCAGGAGTTCGAGACCAGCCTGGGCAATGCGGCAAGACCTTGTCTCTACAAAAAATTTAAAAATAAACTTAACCAGGCATGGTGGTACACACCCATGGTCCCAGTTGCTTGGCAGGCTGAGGTGGGAACATCACTTGAGCCCAGATGTTTGAGGCTGCAGTGAACTATGATTGTACCATTACAATCCAGCCTAGGTGACAAAACAACCTGTCTCTAAAGCCGAAAACACCGGGTGCAGTGGCTCACACCTGTAATCCCAGCACTTTAGGAGGCTGAGGTGGGCGGATCGCCTGAGGTCAGGAGTTCGAGACCAGCTTGACCAACATGATGAAACCCCATCTCTACTAAAATACAAAAATTAGTCGGGCGTGGTGGCAGGCGCCTATAATTCCAGCTACTCAGGAGGCTGAGGCAGGAGAATTGCTTGAACCTGGGAGGCAGGCGGAGGTTGCAGTGAGCCGAGATTGTGCCACTGCATTCCAGCTTGGGTGGCAAGAGTGAAACTCTATCTCAAAAAACAAAAAAAAAGCCAAAAACATAGATCCTGGACAGGAAAGCAGGGGGCAGTTCCATTTTACGTCTCTCCCTTCTGTCCTGTCCAGTGCATCATCCCCAAAGAAACAAATGCGTTTGTTCATAGTCACTGAGGACAACAAACTGACATTCTCTTTTAATCCTCTGTTTGTTCCCCAATCACACAGAAACACCTGGATTCTTATCTAGCTGACTGCTACGATGCCATTGCTGTTTTTCTCTGTATCCACATTGTTCTCCGGTTCCGTAACATTGCAGCAAAGAGGGATGTTCCTGCCCTGGACAGGTCACTGAATTCTGGTCCTTGATGCCCAACAGGCCACGAACTCTCTTGGTCTTGCATGACTCTGCCCTGACCTTAGACTCCTACTGACCTGGTATCATCAACCTTTATTCCCATTCATTTGCTCCGGAGGCAGTAGTGCTGCTTTTTGACTCACCTTTCTCCAACCACTGCCCCCCAACCCCCACAACTAGCTATTGACCATTAAACTGAATGATGCCCCACTCCCTCCCATCCCCCTCCAACATTCCTTGCTGGCTGACCTCTGATTCTGATTAAGCCCACAGGTACTGGGAACAGGTGCTTGCCTTGCTATGGCCACGGTTTGAACTGATCCTGGAGATGAATGTTCAGAGCGTCCGAAGCACTGACCCCCAGCGCCTAGGGGGGTTGGATACTCGGCCCCACTATGTGAGGGAGGGCAAGGGTAACAAAGGGTTCTTGAAAGGCAGGGCTCTAAGCATCATTGTGGGGGTTGGCCAAGGTCACAGTTGTGTCATGGGCCACGCTATGAGCAGGTGTTCTGGGAGGGTGGTGAAACTCATGGTGAGTGGTGCACTGTGGGTAGGAGGGACTGAAGGTAGAGTCACATCACATGGAGGTGGGTTGGCTAAGGAAGTTGGGAGGTTGTGTTGGTTGGGCCAGGAGGTGGGTGTGATTTTCCTTCCCACTCTCTCCTAGATCACACGCCGCTATGCAGAGTTCTCCTCCGCTCTTGTCAGTATCAACCAGACAATTCCTAATGAACGGACCATGCAATTGCTGGGACAGCTGCAGGTGAGGGTCGGACAGGAGACACTTCCCAGCAGCAGGGCTGCTTCCAGTGGGTGGAGTCTGAGGAGGAGCCAGATGGGGCCCAGATGACCTTGCTTTCTGGTGTCACCTCTTCCTCTCTGCCTTTTCAGGTGGAGGTGGAGAATTTTGTCCTCCGAGTGGCAGCTGAGTTCTCCTCAAGGAAGGAGCAGCTTGTGTTTCTGATCAACAACTATGACATGATGCTGGGTGTGCTGATGGTAATAGGTGCTCCTTCTCCTTGCCTTCCTACCCAGAAAATTCGGTTTCCCCCACTGCTGTTAGCTCTGTGAGGGCAGAGATGATGCCTGTCTTGTTCAGTGTTTTACTCTTGGAGTCTGGCACAGTGTCCAGCTTAGTACAATAAGTGTGGAATGAAGGGGACATCCTGAAGTGAAGGACTGCTTTCCCCAAACTAGACATTTCCCTTTGTCTTCCCTTAGGAGCGGGCTGCAGATGACAGCAAAGAGGTTGAGAGCTTCCAGCAGCTGCTCAATGCTCGGACACAGGTAGGGGTGTGGGGAAAAGGGAAGAGACAGCCTTCTGTGCTGTTTTCAGCTCTCTCTCTCTCTCTCTCTGTGTGTGTGTGTGTGTGTGTGTGTGTGTGTAGGGAGTGGCATAATGGATCTCAGGTATGCGGAATTACTGTAACTCTTGATTCACAACATACTGTCATTATTGGTCTATTTTATTTTATTTTGTCTTTGGTTTTTTTTTTTTTTTTTTTTTGAGGCAAAGTGTCACTCTGTCACCCAGGCTGGAGTGCAGTGGCATGAACATGGCTCACTGCAGCCTCAACAGCCTGGGCTTAAGTGATCCTTCTACCTTAGCCCCCTGGGTAGCTGGGACCACAGGTGCGAGCCACCATGCCTAGCTAATTTTTTATTTTTAGAATGAATTTTATTTTTTTCTTTATCTATCCTCTCAAGCATTTATCCTTTGTGTTATAAACAATCCGATTACACTAAGTTATTTTAAAATGTACAATTAAGTTATAATTGACTATAGTCACCCTGTTGTGCTGTCAAATAGTAGGTCTTATTTATTCTTCCTATTTTTGTTTGTACCCATTAATCATCCCCACCTTCTCCCCAGCCTTCCACTAGCCTTCCCAGCCTCTGGTAGCCATCCTTCTACTCTCTTCGTACATGAGTACATGAGTTCAATTGTTTTGATTTTTAGATTCCACGAATCAGTGAGAACACATGACGTTTGTCTTTCTGTGCCTGGCTTATTTCACTTAATATAATAATTTCCAATTCTATGCATGTTGTTGCAAATGACTGAGTCTCATTCTTTTTTATGGCTGAGTAGTACTCCATTGTGTATATATCCCACATTTTCTTTACCCATTCATCTGTTGATGGACACTTAGGTTGCTTCCAAATCTTAGCTATTGTGAACAATACTGCAACAAACATGGGAGTGCAAATATCTCTTCAATGTACTGATTTCCTTTCTTTTGGGTATATACCCAGCAGTGGGATTGCTGAATCATATGGTAGCTCTACTTTTAGTTTTTTGAGCAACCTTCAAACTGTTCTCCAAAGTGTTTGTACTAATCTACATTCCCACCAACAGTGTATAAGGGTTCCCTTTTCTCCACATCCTTGCCAGCATTGCTATTGCCTGTCTTTTGGATAAAAGCCATTCTGACTGGAGTGAGATGAGATCTCATTGTAGTTTTGATTTGTATTTCTCTGATAATAGTGATGGTGAGCCCCTTTTCATATATGTCTGTTTGCCATTTGTATTCTTTTGAAAAATATCTATTCAAATCTTTTGCCCATTTTTTAATAGGATTATTAGACTGTCATGTAGAGTTGTTTGAGCCCCTTATATATTCTGGTTATTAATCCCTTGGCAGATGGGATGTGCAAATATTCTTTGTCTCTTCACTTTATTGTTTCTTTAGCTGTGCAGAAGCTTTTTTTTTTTTTTTTTTTTTTTTTTGAGATGGAGTTTTGTTCTTGTTGTCCAGGCTGGAGTGCGATGGTGCGATCTCAGCTCACCGCAACCTCCGCCTCCCAGGTTCAAGCAATTTTCCTGCCTCAGCCTCCTGAGTAGCTGTGATTACAGGCATGTGCCACCATGCCTGGCTAATTTTGTATTTTTAGTAGAGATGGGGTTTCACCATGTTGGTCAGGCTGGTCTCAAACTCCTGACCTCAGGTGATCTGCCCAGCTCTGTCTCCCAAAGTGCTGGGATTACAGGCGTGAGCCACCGTGCCCAGCTGTGCAGAAGCTTTGTAACTTGACGTGATCCCATTTGGCCATTTTTGCTTTGGTTGCCTGTGCTTGTGGGGTATGGCTCAAGAAATTTTTGCCCAGACCCGTGTCTTGGAGATTTTCCCCAGTGTTTTCTTGTAGTAGTTTCATAATTTGGTCTTAGATTTAAGTCTTTAATCCATTTGATTTGGTTTTCATATGTGGCGAGAGATAGGGGTATAGTTTCATTCTTCTGTGTAATGGATAGCCAGTTTTCCCAGCACCATTATTGAAGAGACTATCTCTCTTTTTTTTTTTTTCAGACGGAGTCTTGCTCTGTCACCTAGGCTGGAGTGCAGTGGTGCAGTATTGGCTCACTGCAACCTCTGCCTCCTTGGTTCAAGTGATTCTCCTGCCTCAGCCTCCTGAATAGTTGGGATTACTGATGCCTGCCACCACGCCGGGCTAGTTTTTGTGTTTTTAGTAGAGACGGGATTTCACCATGTTAGCCAGGCTTGTCTTGAACTCCTGACTTCAAGTGATCCTCCCACCTGGGCCTCCCAAGTGCTGGGATTACAGGCGTGAGCTACCGTGCCTGACCAAGAGACTATCTTTTCCCCAGTGTATGTTCTTGGCACTTTTACCAAAAATGAGTTTACTGTAGGTGTGTGCCAGCTAATTTTTTAATTTTGTAAAGACAGTTGTCTTTACAAAAGACAACTGTTGCCTGGGCTGGTCTTGAATTACTGCCCTCAAGTGAAAAATCTTATGATTCTTTTTTTTTTTTAAAGACGGAGTCTCACTCTGACTCCCACACTGGAGTGCAGCGATACGATGTCAGCTCACTGCAACGTCCGCCTCCCAGGTTAAGTGATTCTCCTGCCTCAGCCTCTGAGTAGCTGGGACTGCAGGCACGTGCCACCATGTCCAGCTAATTTTTGTATTTTTAGTAGAGATGGGGTTTCACCATGTTGGCCCAGCTGGTCTTAAAACTCCTGACCTCAGGTGATTCACCCGCCTCAGCCTCCCAAAGTGCTGGGATTATAGGCATGAGTCACTGCACCCGGCCTAGATTCTGTTTTTAATGACACTGGAAAACAACGAATTTTTGTTTTGGCATATATATAGCTTTACTTTTAAAAGCAAGAACACACACAAAAAAAGGGGGAAAAAAGCAAGAACACAATAAATGCAACATTTAGATCAACGAGTACCTGTGCACGAGAAGCACAGGGATGGTTTCAGTAGGATTTCATAGTTTGATGGTGACTTTTGCCAAGCTGCTGCTACTTGGATTGTGTGGTGTGTTTGTGAGTGTTTATATCATTAAAAAACAAAACAGCCACTGCACTGGGTTGTTTTATTTTTTAATGATATAAACACTGATGAGACAAGGCAAGAAAACAGCAAGGCAAAAAAGAAAAAAAAAAAAGCCAGGCATGGTGGTATGCACCTGTAGTTCTAGCTATTTGGGAGACAAAGGCGAGAGGACCACTTTGAAATCCAGGAGTTCGAGATTACAGCGAGCCATGATCATGACATTGTAGTCTACCCTTGGCAACACAGCAAGACCCTGTCTCAAACAGCAAAACAAAACAAAAAACCCCAGAATCACAGGATTTTTTTCATGCATAATTTTTCTAATATTGTCATGTTATTGCATATGGCTATAGCTCATTCCTTTTCACTGCCATATATGACTTGTGTGATTAAACATATTCTATAAATGGATTGTTTCCAGTTTCTTGCTTCTGTGAGCATTGTTTTATGAATAATCATGTCTTTTAGCACACATAGATATTGATTATCTTCATCAAAAGTTTCTCTTGGGTATAAACCTAGGACAGTAGTCTTGCTGCTAATAAGATATGCAGTATTAGTCTTTATGAGACAATGATAAATTGTTTTCCTAAGTAGTTCCTTCTCACCAGCAATATGTAAGAATTCCTACTGAGCCACATTTTCTCCAACATGTGGTATTATCAGGTCTTTGCCATTTTTTTTCTTTTTTTTTTTAGAGACCAAGGATGCTGCTAAAGATGCTCGGGATCAGAAATGTTTCAGATTTTGATTTTTTTCGGATTTTGGATTCCTTGCATTATTTTTACTGGTTAGCATCTGTAGTCTGAAAATCTGAAATCTGAAATGCTCCAAAGAGCATTACCTTTGAGCATCATGTTGATACTCAAAAACTTCCGGATTTTGGAGCATTTTGGATTTCAGATTATTGGATTAGGGATACTCAACCTGTATTTCAGTGGGTTTTATTTGTAATTTTCTGATTACTAATAACATTGAGCATCATTTCAAATGTTTAGTAACTATATGTAGGGGTTCAGTCAGGCTGGTGGGAAAAATATTAGTGATGATAGCCACAAACCCTCTTGGAAGGCCTAAGAGTTTGCATAACTTCAGTAATAGATATGGTTGAAGGCGACCTGATCTTTACCTTTAGTTAAATAAATTAGAGTAATAACAAAGGAATGTGGGGAAGTTATCTAGGTAGCTTGTTTACTCATATGGTCTTAAGACTAATCTTTGATGTACCGCAGGTGCTTAACTGCTTTCTACTCAGGAAGTCCACAATGTCAGTTACCCCGTAGTGGTGTTGACTCAAGTCTTTGTCAATTAATCTTTACTGAATAAATGCGAGTCTCACTAGCTGGTCAGGGCCGCCATTGCAACTGTTTACAGTACTCTTCAGGGAGTCTGTAAACAGCCTGGACACACTCAGCTGGACTGGCAAAGCAGAGTATCTGTGTGTCAGTGTACCTCATTCATCCGTTGCCGGGTCAGGGGTCTGCAAGGGACAGACTCCCTGAAGCTGGTGCTCTGTGTGAGGAGCGTCACCACAACTATACAATTTTTTTTTTTCCTGTAAAATGGCTGTCATAGCATTTGACCTTTTAAAAATCGGCTTGTGGCTGGGCAGGGTGTACACCTGTAATCCCAGCACTTTGGGAGGCTGAGGCGGATGGATCAGTTGAGGCCAGTAATTCAAGACCAGCCTGGCCAGCATGGCAGAACCCTGTCTCTACTAGAAGTACAAAAATTAACCAGGCATAGTGGCGCATGCCTGTAGTCCCAGCTCCTCAGGGGCGCTGAACCTGGGAGGCGGAGGTTGCAGTGAGCCAAGATTATGCCACTGCACTCCAGCCTCAGTTACAGAGCGTGACTCTCTCAAAAAATAAAGAAAAAAATAAGTCTGCTAGTATTTTTTATTTATAAGAGTTCTTTGCATCATCTACATACTAATCTTGTTGATTATACGTAGGTTACAGATTATCTTTTAGTATGTATCTTTTTACTTTTTTTTTTTTTTTTGGTGAGATGAGGGTCTTTCTGTGTTGCCCAGGCTCCTGGGCTCAAGAAATCCTTGCACCTTTTTTTTTTTTTTTTTGAGATGGAGTTTCACTCATGTTGCCGAGGCTGGAGTGCAATGGTGTGATCTCAGCTCACTGCACCTCTGCCTCCCGGGTTCAAGCACTTATCCTTTCTCAGCCTCCTGAGTAGCTGGGATTACAGGCGTGTGCTACCACGCCCGGCTAATTTTTGTATATTTAGTAGAGATGGGTTTTGCCATGTTGGCCAGGCCAGTCTTGAACGCCTGACCTCAGGTGATCCATCCGCCTCAGCCTCCCAAAATGCTGGGATTACAGGCATGAGCCACCGCGTCCAGCCTTTGTTTTTTTAATGTTGCTTTTTGATTAAAGAAATTTGTAATTTTAATATGATTGAATTTATCTGTCCTTCATTTTTATGTCTTTGTTTTTAGTAACAGTCTTGCTCTGTCACCCAAGCTGGAATGCAGTAGTGTGATCATGGCTCACTGTAGCCTCAACCTCCTGGGCTCAGGCAACCCTCCTCCCTCAGCCTCCCAAGTAACTAGGACTACAGGTGTGTGCCATATGCCCAGCTAATTTTTGTTGTTGTTGTTGTTTTGTAGAGACAGAGTCTCACTATGTTGCCCAGGCTGGTCTCAAACTCCTGGCCTCAAGTGATCCTCCCGCATCAGCCTCCCAAAGTGCTGGGCTTACAGCCACCATCTACCACGCCTGACTATTTTTGTCCTGTTTAAGAAATTCCTGGGCTGGGTGTGGTGGCTCACGCCTGTAATCCCAGTACTTTGGGAGGCTGAGGCGGGTGGATTACGAGGTCACGGGATCGAGACCATCCTGGCCAACATGGTGAAACCTCGTCTCTACTAAAAATACAAAAAAATTAGCTGGGCGTGGTGATGCGTACCTGTAGTCCTAGCTACTCATGAGGCTGAGGCAGGAGAATCACTTGAACCAGGGAGGTGGAGGATGCAGTGAGCCAAGATCGTGCCACTGCACTCCAGACTGGTGATAGAGTGAGACTCCGTTTAAAAAAAAAAAAAATGAAATTCCTTATTACTCCAAGGCCAGAAAAATATTATGCTACATTTTCTTCTTAATATTGTAGAATTTTGGCCAGGTGCAGTGGCTAAAGCCTGTAATCCCAGCACTTTGGGAGGCCAAGGCAGGAAGATTGCTTGAAGCCAGGAGTTTGAGACCAGCCTAGGCAGTATAGTGAGACCTCATCTCTACAAAAAATTAAAAAAATATATTAGCCAAGCATAGTGGCACACACCTGTAGTCTCTGCTACTCAGGTAGCTGAGGTGGGAGGATCACTTGAGCCTGGGAGGTCGAGGCTGCAGTGAGCCCTGTTTGTGCTGCTGCACTCCAGCCTGGGCAACAGAGTGAGACCCTGTCTCAAAAAATAATAATAAAATTAAAGAATAAACAAATATATAGAGAGAATTTTTTTGTTACCTTTAAGTCTCAAATTTACTTGGAATTAATTTTTGTGTGTGATGTGAGGTAGGGATCTATTTCTTTTTTTTATGTGGATGGTTGGCCCAGAACCATTTATAGAAAATCTTTTTCTTTTCTTTTTTTTTCTTTTCTTTTTTTTTTTTTTTAGACAGAGTCTCACTCTTGTCACCCAGGCTGGAGTGCAGGGCCACAATCTCAGCGCACTGCAACCTCTGCCTCCTGGGTTCAAGTGATTCTCCTGCCTCAGCCTCCTGAGTAGCTAGGATTACAGGCATGTGCCACCACACCCAGCTAATTTTTGTATTTTTAGTAGAGATGGGGTTTCACCGTGTTGGCTAGGCTGGTCTCGAAAAGTTTTCACATTTTAAAAAGTCTTTAAGGATTTTGATTAGAATTACATTGTCTATAGACTAATTTGGAAGAATTGATACTTTATGATATTGAAACTTCCTATCCATGATCATGATCATGGGCTCCCTATCCTTTTTTTTTTTTTTTTTTTTTTTTTTTTTTTTTTTTTTTTTGAGACAGGTTTTGCTCTGTCACTCAGGTTGGAGTGCAGTGGCACAATCATAGCTCACTGCAGCCTTGAATTCCTGGGTTCAAGTGCTTCTCTTGTCTCAGCCTCCCGAGTAGCTAGGACTAGAGGCACACAGCACCACACTTGGCTTTTTTTTTTCTGTAGAGAATACAAAATTTAAAAATTTAATTTTTTGTAGTGTCTCACTAAACTGGGATTACAGATGTGAGCCACTCCACCTGGCCTCCTCCTCCAATTTTTAAGAGAGTCTTTTAATGTCTTTTGATAACCTTTTTAAATTTTCAGCACAAAGACACTGTAAGTCGTTTGCCATATTTTTAGGTGGGTATAATACGTATGTTTAGTTCTACTAGGAATAAATAAATCTTTTCTAGTTTTTTGTCTTTAACATCTTATGTTTTTGATTTCTTATTCTACTGGCTAACACTCCCAGGATGATGTTTAGAAGTTGAACAGAAAGGTGATAGTGAGAACCCTTTTCATATTCCTGATTTTGAAAGAATTGTTGCTGGTGCTGTGGCTCATGCCTGTAATCCCAGCACTTTGGGATGCTGAGATGGGAGAATCTCTTGAGCCCAGGAGTTTGAGAGTTTGAGGGGATCTGCCTGGGCAACATAGTGAGACTCCATTTCTTTTTTTTTTTTTTTTTTTTAGACAGAGTCTCCCTCTGTCTCCCAGGCTGGAGTGGTGCAGTGGTGCAATCTCAGCTCACTGCAAGCTCCGCCTCCCGGGTTCATGCCATTCTTCCTGCCTCAGCCTCCCGAGTAGCTGAGACTACAGGTGCCCAGCACCATGCCCGGTATTTTTTTTGTATTTTGTATTTTTAGTAGAGACGGGGGGTTTCACCATGTTAGCCAGGATGGTCTTGATCTGACCTCGTCATCTGCCCGCCTTGGCCTCCCAAAGTGCTGGGATTACAGGTGTTAGCCACCATGCCCGGCTAAGACCCCATTTCTTTAAAAAAAAAAAAAAAAAAAAAAAAAAGCCAGGCGTAGTGGCATGCATTTGTAGTTCTAGCTGCTTGGGAGGCTGAGGCGGGATCATTGCAGGAGATTAAGGCACCCACAAAGATGCACTTAAACCAGTTGTTTCTGCTGAGAGCAGCTGGGATTTGTCACTGGATTTGCCAGGTATAGAGACTCGCCAGCTGCCATCAATGCTTCTGGTCCTTTTTGGTCAGCTGCTGCTTCATACTACGTAGGAAAGATTGTTAAAGCCCAGTGCACTGTTTCCTCTGGTCACTCCTCTGCTATCAAGGTGTTCTCTTTTGCGTTATAGAAAGCTTAAAGTTCATCTAAGTCCAGACCAGTACTCCTATAGGAATATAATGCATGCCACAAATGTGAGCCACTTAAATAATTTTAAATTTTCTAGAAGCTACATTAAAAAGTAAGGAGAAACAGATGAAATAATTTTTTAAACCACTACATCCAAAATATTATTATTTCAACATATAATCAATAAAAAATAGTACTGAGGCCAGCACGGTGGCTCACACCTGTAATCCCAGCACAGGCCAAGGCAGGGAGGATCGCTTGAGCCCAGGAGTTTGAGACCAGCCTGGACAACATGGTGAAACCCCATCTCTACAAAAAATAAAAAAAAAATGAGTGGGACATGTTGGCACATGCCTGTTAGTCCCAGCTACTCAGGAGGCTGAGGTGGGATAATCACTGAGCCAGGAAAGTTGAGGTTGTAGTGAGCTGTGATTGTGCCACTGCACTCCAGCGTGGGTGATGGAGCAAGACCCTGTTTCCGAAAAAAAAAAAGAAAAAAAAGATATACTTAAAATTTATTCTAAGATGAAGTCTTCAAAATCAGGTGTATATATCATGCTTACAACACATTATATAATTTATGGCTCCTGCCTAGCAGGGGTCATCACTGTTAGTTCAACTTTTCTTTGGCAAGTCTACTCCCTGTGCCCCACCGTACACTGCTACATTATTGTTTGTATATGTGTGTGTGAGACTGCATTTAGGCAACTGTAATAGGTTGAATTTGGTTATTTAATCTCTGTCCAAAATCACATCACAAAGATGCCTTGATTATAGAAAGATCCTTCCTTGCAGCATATTAGTTATTTGACACCCTCAGTGGATATAAGTGAATATTTTGAGGGAAGAATAGAAAAGATACAATTTTTATTTATTTATTTATTTATTTATTTACTGAGACAAGTTGCTGCTCTGTCGCCCAGGCTGGAGTGCAGTGACATGATCTTGGCTCACTACAACCTCTGCCTCCCGGTTCAAGTGATTCTTCTGCTTCAGTCTCCCTGAGTAGCTGGGGTTACAGGCATGCACCACCACACCTGGCTAATTTTAGTATTAATAATTTATTTTTAAATGGAATAATAATTTCACTTTCTTCTTACCAGATCTTTCTGTCTGGGTTGTTTGCTTTTATGAGTTTTTTTGTTTGAATCTCCCTTTTACATTAAACAAAAATTAACATTTTATTATGGGAAATTTCACTATGCTATTAGAAAAGCATAGTGAACCCCCAGGCATCATCAGTGATATTCGGTGTATAGCAGTTCACGGACAGTTTTGTTTCATCTATACCAACACCTATTGCTTATCCTCCTTCTGTGTCCCCCAGTTACTTTGAATTAAATCTTATACATATACAGATGAATATTATCACTTCATCTGTATCAGAATGTTATTTTTATTAAGAAAATTATTTTTGAGATAGGGCCTTGCTGTAGTGCCCAGGCTGGAGTGTAGTAGCATGATATAACTCCCTGCAGCCTCGAACTCCTGGGCTCAAGTGATCCTCCCACCTCAGCCTCCTAAGTAACTGGGACTACAGGTGTGTGCCACCACACCTGGTAACAGATGGTTTTAAAAACTACAATACATTATCACACTTAAAAAAATTATCTTATCTAAAATAACTATTCAGATTTTCCCAGTTATTTCATAAGTGATTTTTTTTTTTTTTTTTTTGAGACACAGTTTCACTCTTGTTGCCTCCAGGCTGGAGTGCAATGGCCCGATCTTGGCACACTCCAACATCTGCCTCCCGGGTTCAAGCAATTCTCCTGCCTCAGTCTCCTGAGTAGCTGGGATTATAGACACCCACCACCACGCCCAGCTAATTTTTGTATTTTTAGTAGAGACAGGATTTCACCATGTTGGCCAGGCTGGTCTCAAACTCCTGACCTCAGGTGATCTACCCGCCTCAGCCTCCCAAAATGCTGGGATTACAGGCATGAGCCACTGTGCCTGGCCTTCATAAATGATTTTTATGGTTCAAATCAGGATCCATATAAAGTCCATATATGTGTCTTTTTTTAGTCTATAGATTTCCCTTCCATCTCCTCTGCAATTTATTTTTGGAAGAAACTGAGTTATTGAGTCATTTGTCATCTAGAATGATGTACAGTTTAGATTTTGCTGACTGCATTCCATGGTGTGGCCAAACTTCCTCTGTCTGGTGTATTTCTCATAAGTGTGTAATTAGATGGAAAGGCTTGGTCAGATTTAAATTAGTTTTTTTTTTTCTACAGGGATATTTGAGAGGTAGTGGTATGTATTTCCATCAGGAAGCACATAATGTCTTCTTGGCTCTCTTTGTGATGTTAGTAGCCATCAATTTCAGTGCCTAGATACATTAATTAGATTTCTGTATCTCCTACTATCTCAAAATTTTCCATCTTCTGTCTGTGCTACATTCTGAGTCCTTTCTTCAGTTATAAATTCTAATTCATTGTATAATTCTTGTTAATCTGTTGACTTTCTAAAACTGGCTTTTCATATCTAAAAAAATTTCCTTTTTTCAAGTCTGTTCATTCCTCATAGTTCTTACTAATTGGTCATTTTTACATCCTTTTTTTTTTTTTTTTTTTTTGAGACGGAGTCTTGCTCTGTCATCCAGGCTGGAGTGCAGTGGCATGATCTCTGCTCACTGCAACCTCCGCCTCCCAAGTTCAAGTGATTCTCTTGCCTCAGTCTCCCGAGTAGCTGGGATTATAGGCATCCACCATCATGCCCAGCTAATTTTTGTATTTTTAGTAGAGATGGGGTTTCATCATGTTGGCCAGGCTGGTCTTGAACTCCTGACCTCAGGTGATCTGCCCACCTCAGCCTCCCAAAGTGCTGGGATTACAGGCGTGAGCCACTGTGCCCGGCCTATCCTTAACTTTAGACATTGCACACAGTACAACTGCTATCCGTATCGGATAGTTCTTAAGGTCAGCAGCTATTGCTTATTGTGTCTGCTGACTCTCTTGGTAGCTGCCCTTCTTTTGTGTCTAGTGATCTTTGAGTTCATTGTTTGATCTTAACCAGGGGAACTGTATGGGCCAAAATTAGGATTGAGGATATTTTTCTCCATAGAGGATTTTCCTTAACTTTTGCAGCAGCTGAAAGATGCCATTCAGATGGATCTACATTAGTCATGATGCCAGAATTGGGCAAATCTGCTGACACCAGGACACCTGTGTATATGTGTTTGTGTCTTTCCAGGAATTCATTGAAGAGTTGCTGTCTCCCCCTTTTGGGGGTTTAGTGGCATTTGTGAAGGAGGCTGAGGCTTTGATTGAGCGTGGACAGGCTGAGCGACTTCGAGGGGAAGAAGGTATGAGGAAAATATGGTAATGATGGGATCAGTGGTAAGGGAAGTGGAAAAGAAAAATGAAAGGATGCAGATTACATGGTGGGGGAATAGAGTATGAAAGACTGGATTGAGAGAATACCAGAAAAGAGGGTTTGATGATAAGGATGGCTATACCTTGGGGAGAACTTAGTGGAGTTGAAGATCAGCCAGATCCCTCTCTGACACTGTTTCCTCCTGCTATTAGCCCGGGTAACTCAGCTGATCCGTGGCTTTGGTAGTTCCTGGAAATCATCAGTGGAATCTCTGAGTCAGGATGTAATGCGGAGTTTCACCAACTTCAGAAATGGCACCAGTATCATTCAGGTGACCTGCAAGTCCCAGGCCCCACTCAGATCCCCCATCATTAATTATTTTCCCCATCTTTTTGCTGGGCTCAGCATCATCTAAGTGACCCTTGGTCTTCAGTTACTAGCTGTGCCCAAAGTTCTGTATGAGCCCTAACCTGATTCTTTTTTTTTTGTTTGTTTTGTTTTTTTTTTGAGACAGAGTCTAGCTCTGTTGTCCAGGCTGGAGTGCAGTGGCACAGTCTCGGCTCACTGCAACCTCTGCCTCCCAGGTTCAAGTGATTTTCCTGCCTCAGCCTCCCAAGTAGCTGGGATTACAGGTGCCTGCCACCACAACCAGCTAATTTTCGTATTTGTAGTAGAGATGGGGTTTCACTGTGTTGGCCAGGCTGGTCTCGAATTCCTGACCTCGTGATCTGCCCGCCATGGCCTCCCACAGTGCTGGGATTACAAGTGTGAGCCACTGCGCCTGGCCGCCTAACCTGATTCTTAATCATCACTATTAGCACCATTTTACGGTTTGATCCCTCAATGACTTTCTTTGACCAGGGAGCGCTGACCCAGCTGATCCAGCTCTATCATCGCTTCCACCGGGTGCTGTCCCAGCCGCAGCTCCGAGCCCTCCCTGCCCGGGCTGAGCTCATCAACATTCACCACCTTATGGTGGAGCTCAAGAAGCATAAGCCCAACTTCTGATGTGCCAGAAACCGCCCTGAGATCTGCCGGTCATCTCCATGGACTTCTGCACCCCATTCCATACCCTTCTTCACCTGGGGTACCCCTTCCAGTTTTCCCCTTGCTTCCCAGGCCCTTGACATGGCTTACCTGCCTTCACTCCCAGCACCTTGCCCAACAGGATAAGCTGGATCCCCTTGGCCTTCTGAATATCCCAGTGTCTTCAGGTTTCCCAAGACCACTTCCCTGTGGGCTTCCAAAATGGCCTTTATCATTTCTCCAGTCTGTCACCCTCCTTTCCTGCTCCCATACACCCAAGGCTTGTTTCTTCCCCTGTAAAAACCACTGCCTCAATCTCTGGTTCACTCAACTAGTCACCATGTCCTGAGGCATGAAGCCTCCTCAGCTCTTGGAATTGCTGGCAAGGGGTGACTGCCTCTGAGTCATTGTGTTTTTCAAAGTGATTTCTTTTCTGTAGCTTTTTGACCTAAGATCTCAGCAATTTGAACACTAACCTCTCCCCTCCTGGCTCAAGAATTACTCCGAAGTCAGTCTGCAGAAAATAAATATTTAGTATGACATGACACTTATCCCATTTCCTTTCTCCTTCCTCCTGAAGGTTTTTCAGGTGGCCCCATCTCTAGAATGACCTTTCCTTTCTGACTACTTCCTGGGCTTACATCCCTTCTGGTGGGTGTAACCTCTAACCTCTAGCTACTCCCAGGCCATTGGAGGAAGGTGGCCCCTGGCTAAAATAGCAGATGCTGCAAGGGATGAGAACCAGGCCGCGCAGCCCCAGACACTGTCCCAAGGGCTCCCTTGGGACAAGCCCAAGCTGACTCTGGAATCCCTCCTCCGTAGCAGCTCCATAGCTCCTCTGGTTGTGGCTGTGACAGCCCCTTGCTCGGGGGCTGCAGCACCCAACCCACACCCACACCGTTGGGGCAGGGCTAGACCAGGCGAAATTCGTACCATCCGTTTGTTTGACTTGGAGCCTTCCTGCTGTCCTCGCCTATACGCCTCGTTTGAACTTAGGCTCTAGACTGGAGAGACACGGGGACCCCTTTAAGGCCTAAGAAGAGAGGCGCAGTTAAGGAAAAATGTTACGTTTCCTGTGTCCTCCACCCCTACGGCCTAAACATTCCCTCCCCAGGTCCCTGGAGAGTGGTGGAAAGCGGTTCCTCCCCGCTTAGGCCCTTCGGATGCAGGTCTAGCCCGTCGGCAACGGGAGGTGTCCTGAGTGGGTCTGTGACTGCCGAGCACACCCGCCGCGGAGCGGAGGCTGCTGCTTCCTGAGGCTGAGAGTGGATCCGGCTCCGGGCTCTCCTAATTGGCGGACGCTGGGGGGCGGCGTGGTAAGGCAGAACGGAGCGGCATCTCAGCTCTCGCCTTTTCAGGGTTCCGCCCCATATCCGAGAGCCGCTCTCTAATTGGCTTGGGAAACCGTATCTCAGCGCTTTGGCCTAGCGACTTTGAACGTGTTTGCGCCTGAGACCGAAGTGCAGAAGAGGGCGAGCGCAGGAGGAGAGGCTTGGTGAATCAGCGATTCCTGATTGGCCAGGCGTGCCTTGAGGGCGGGGCCAGAACTGCGTCCTTAACTGACCTCGCCCTTGCCCAGATCACCGCCTCCGCGTTGCTCCGGGTTTACCCCGCCTGACTCGCTGCGCTATGCGTTCCCTCACGCCTGCCGGATGCCAGGCGGCGATGTGCCAGGCTCTGAGGGGCCGCGAGCTCACCCCAGACGCCGGCCCCGGGAATCCTCTGCTCCTCCACTTTCCCTTCCCGCTACTGGTTTCTTGCCCACCCACTCCCAGGTGTCACTCTTGGGACATCCAGATGTTCTGACATTTGACCTGACTCCAGCCTCAGCGCGAGGACGGGAGAAGGGCCAAGGGTATGAGATTTTGGACAGGAGAGGCATTGGCTACTCTGACAAAGAGCGTGGATTCCCAAAGAAAGGGTCCCCAGATACCCCGCAGGGGAGACTGTCGAGACAGGCGACTTTAGCCAACTAATGCTCGCACGCGAGGAGGGCTGTGCAGGCAGGCACCACGGTTCTTCACAGCCTTCCTTCTTTCCTTCCCCTGTCCGTCGCAGAACCCAAATCCTCAGAGCTGATCGAGAAGCGCGTGTTGTTGCAGAAGTCACTGAGGGGCAGACCTGGAATGTGAGCCGTGGGGCGAAGGGACAGCTCTGGAGACTCGTGATTCCGGAACCCGGTGGGCATTCAAGTGATACTGGAGCACGCAGTTTTCGGGGACATTAAGCTCGCCCCAGGGGTCCACAGGAACCCTCTGACCCAACGGTCTCTCTGGACAGGATGATCCAGAACAGACGGTGAAGAGACAAAACAGCGTGAAAGGGAGCGGCGATACCTAAACTGACCTCCGGAGGGCAGCATGATCAAGGGAAGGAGCTGTTCTCGCTCCGCTCAAACCCCCGCGCAGCCTCTGCAGCTTACTCCTGCTTCGGAAGGCGGCGAGGTTCCACCCCCACCACCCCGGTCCCCGCCGCCCTCTTCGCGCTGAAGCTGCGGAGGGTCTTTTTCTTCAGCCCCCAAATCCTCTGCTCTGTGGCTTAAGATTCCCAGGCTTAAACCCATAACTGCTAGGGTCATCACTCCTCAAACTTCTCCCTCACTTGTTTTGCTGATGACGGACACAGGGGCCTCACAGACTCAGAAGCATCTGGAGTCATTTCGAAGGACAGAACTGTGGCAATATCCTCTTTCCCCCTCCTAATCTCTGAGAACAGTGTCTGTATATGGCACGGGGGTCCCTAGTGTCATATAGAAGGACTCGGAGATGTCCTCATGGGCTGTAACGGCCCCCGGTGCTATTCAGGGATCTCTGTTCTTTAAAGAAATATCATTTCCCCTTATTTCTCTACCTTTGTGCCCTCACCTCGCCCTGAATTGTTTCTTAAACTGGGCTTTCTGGGAAACGTTTACTTCGTGTTCAACAGCAAAGTCTCGGCATAAGGCGAGGGCGGCAGGGGGTGGGGGGCGGGCGTTTGCTCGCCTTGGCATTAATTTCAGAGCTGCTGAACGTGGACAAAAGAGAGGGAACATCCTCCTTTCTTCCATTCCTGTAAATATGGACCCACCCACCCTCCACTTAAGATGGGTGGCTTTTCTGATTTTAAGATATCAAGCAGCCTGGCGAGGTGGCTGACACCTGGGATCCCAGAACTTTGGGAAGCCGAGGCGGGAAGATCCCTTAAGGCCAGGAGTTCTAGACCAGCCTGGCCAATATGGCGAAAACCCATCTCTACTAAAAATACAAAAATTAGCCTGGCGTGGTGGTGCCTGCCTATAATCCCAGCTACTAGGGTGGCTGAGTCAGGAGAGTCGCTTGAACCTGGGAGGCGGAGGTTGTAATGAGCCGAGATGGCCACTGCACTCCAGCCTGGGTGACAGTGAGACTCTGTCTCAAAAATAATAATAATAATAATAATAAAAAGATATAAATTGGCTGGGCTTTAAAATAAAGTAGTCAGAGGCCCAGGGTGGTGACTCATGCCTGTAATCCTTTTGGAAGGCAGAGGCCAGAGGATCTTGAGCACAGGAGTTTGAGACTAGCCTGGGCAACATAGGGAGACCCATCTCTACCAAAAAAAAAAAAAAAAAAAAGCAAAAAGCCAAGCATGGTGGCCCATGCCTGTGGTCCCAGCTAGTTGTGAGGCTGAGGCAGGAGGATTGCTTGAGAACAGGAGTTAGAGATTGCAGTGAGCTATGATTGCACTACTGCACTCCAGCCTGGGTGACAGAGTGAGACCCTATCTCTTTTTAAAAAATTAAAAAACAAAGTAGATTTAGTGTGAAGATTCAAGGAAAGAAAGAGAAAGCAAGACAAAACTTTAAGGAGAGGAGAATCGAAATTGGCTGACTTCACCCTGGACATAATGGACACAGCTATTCATGTTACGTACTAGCGTTAACAAAGTGTTTTCAGAAGCAGTTGTCATTAAACCAACACATTTATTGAAGCTCTTCTCTGTGTTCTGTGATAGGCACTGCGGATTCAGCAGAGACTAAATCAAAGTCCTTGATCTCGGAGAGCACATATTTCATCTAATTGAATTCACATACCAGCCTTATGAGGAGGTGTTCTTCCTGTTTCAGGTAATGAGCTTGAATTTCAAATAATGAGTTCAAAACCATATAGGCACTCAGTGGCTGAACCTTCTGTGCCCACATTCAGCTTTTGTTCTATGACTCCAGGCTGGGAGTCATGGAGCTGAGGAGGCAGCCGGTTGTAGAGAAGCAACAGATTAATAAGTAATAGTAAATTATTGAAAAAATATTTACAGAACTGAAGGAAAAGCTGAACAGGCGGTCTTTGGAAAGGACAGAAGCCAGGATAGTTCCAGCATCCAGGCAGCAGACACCAATGGTCAGTGCTTCTACTTTGGATCAAAAAGAGAGAACTCCAATAGGCTTAGGGTGGGTCAGGTGCTCACACTCATCTGAGGAAGGGGAGGGTCCCTTGAGGAATAGTACCATAGACTACCCAATGTTGGAGGATAATGGCCCCAACGCAAAAATGGGATCTTGCCACCAGACAAATGGGATATAGATGCCAGGCTGCAAAATCCAACAAATGTACACGTGCCCAAATCCCGACTCCATCACTAATAGCCATGCAATCCTCTGACTATCAATTAGATTAATTGACACTCTTTTTTCTCTCGCTACTGTGGTACATGCAGTAGTTACCTTTATTCTTCACTTTGTTTTCTCATAAGACTAACAAGCAGTTTTTTAAAATAAAGAAATAAAAGCAAAATTGCTTATTGTCTTAGTCTATTCATTGGCAAACTAGTAACATTAAATAAACTCCAGACAGAGCCACTGGAGAAGAATCAAGTACAACTTAGTAGAAATAACACCGTATGTGTGAAGGTGAGTGTGTGTGTGTGTGTGTGTGTGTGTGTGTGTGTGTGTGTGATGGAAAATACTTTGTCCTGCCCAAACTGTAAGTCATGACCATGCCCCTCTCAGCAGAAGTTTATCTTCATCTCATTTGGAAGTTTATAAGAACACAGCTTAAAAAAAACCTGTGATTTTGGAGCAAGGTCAAGCCTTTGCTATTGCTTCCACATTTTGTTTTGTTTTATTTATTTATTTACTTTTCAGTTTTTTGGAGTTTTCTTTATTTGTTTGTGTTTTTGAGACAGGGTCTCGCTCTGTTGCCCAGGCTGGAGTGCAGAGGCACCATCTCGGCTCACTGCAACCTCTGCCTCCCGGGTTCAAGCGATTCCCCTGGCTTAGCCTACTGAGTAGCTGGGATTACTGGCACGCACCACCACATCCAGCTAATTTTTGTATTTTCAGTAGACACTGAAATACATGTTTGCCATGTTGGCTGGGCTGGTCTCAAACTCCTGGCCTCATGTGATCTGCCTGCCTCGGCCTCCCAAAGTGCTGGGATTACAGGCATGAGCCACCACGCCTGCCTAGTTTTTAGTTTTTTGAGACAGAGTCTTGCTCAGTTACCCAGGCTGGAATGCAGTGGCATGATCACAGTTTACTGCAGCCTCGACCTCATGGATTTAAGCAATCCTCCCACCTCAGCCTCTGGGATAGCTGGGACTACAGTCATGTGCCACCACACCTGGCTAATTTTTGTATTTTTTGGTAAACGAGGTTTCACCATGTTGCCCAGGCTGGTCTTGAACTCCTGAGCTCAAGTGATCTCCTACCTCGGCCTCCCAAAGTGTTGGAATTACAGGCATGAGCCACTGCCCCAGCTGTTTTATTAATTTAGTTAAAAATATATGAAAAGAGGCCCTGCGCGGTGGCTCACGCCTGTAATCCCAGCACTTTGGGAGGCTGAGGTGGGCGGATCACCTGCGGTTTTGGAGTTCAAGACCAGCCTGACCAACATGGAGAAACCCCATCTCTACTAAAAATATAAAAAATCAGCTAGGCATGGTGGCACATACCTGTAATCTCAGCTACTCGAGAGGCTGAGGCAGGAGAATTGCCCTAACCCAGAGGAGGTTGTGGTGAGCCAAGATTGCGCCATTGCACTCCAGCCTGGGCAACAAGAGCGAAACTCTGTCTCAAAAAAAAAAGTATATATATATATATATATATATGAAAAGGCTGGGTGCGGTGGCTCACGCCTGTAATCCTAACACTTTGGGAGGCTGAGGCAGGTGGATCACCTGAGGTCAGGAATTTGAGACCAGCCTGGCCAACATGGCAAAACCGTGTCTCTACTAAAAATAAAAAAATTAGCCAGGCATGGTGGCAGGCGCCTGTAATCCCAACTACTTGGGAGGCTGAGGCAGGTGGATCACCTGAGGTCAGGAATTTGAGACCAGCCTGGCCAACATGGCAAAACCCTGTCCCTACTAAAAATACAAAAATTAGCCAGGCATGGTGGCAGGTGCCTGTAATCCCAACTACTTGGGAGGCTGAGGCAGGAGAATTGCTTGAACTCAGGGGGCAGAAGTTGGCAGTGAGCCAAGATCACACCATTTCACTCCAGTCTGGGCAAAAGAGCAAGATTCTGTCTCAAAAAAAAAAAAAAAAAAAAAAAAAAAAAAATATATATATATATATATATATATATATATATATATATATATATATACATACATACACACACACATACACACATACAGGCACTAGCCAGGCGTGGTGGCTCATGCCTGTAATCCCAGCACTTTGGGAGGCCGAGGCGGGCAGATCACAAAACAGGCAGGGCATGGTGGTCCACGCCTGTAATCCTAGCACTTTGGGAGGCTGAGGTGGGCAGATCACTTGAGCACAGGAGTTCGAGACTAGCCTGAGCAACATGGCGAAACTCTGTCTCTACCAAAAATACAAAAATTAGCTGGGTGTGGTGGTGCATGCCAGTAATCCCAGCTACTCCGGAGGCTGAGAGGCAGGAGGATTGCTTGGGGAGGCAGAGGTTGCAGTGAGCCGAGATGGCACCACTAGACTCCAGCCCAGGTGACAGAGGGAGACCCTGTCTCAAAAAAAAAAAAAAAAAGAAAGAAAAGAAGAAAAGAAAAACAAATCACCTGCCTTATGAAGAAACAGTTTGTAATAGATATAAGACACAGAATGTGCAGCCCCTGGTATGGAATAAGTCCTTAGAAAATGTTAGTTTCCTCTCTGTCCCTGTGTGACATGAAGGGAATTCCAGGGCCAGTGCCACTTCCTGGTGGTTTCCCTCACTTAAGTGCTGTGTACCCCATTGCAAAAGCATGTCTTCCAGGTTCCTGATACCACATCCCATGTCCTCTGCCTTTGGGGCTCTCATAGGATTAAGTGTCATTTTCCCTATGAACTAGAAAAGAATCTTCTGAACGTCTGCCTTGGGACTGATGATATAGCTGAGCTGAAAGGACAATTAGTTTTCCTCCCCAGACCAACCCAACCTTCAAGGCTGGGGACTCATTTGATGCTCCCATTCAAACATTTGGAGAAAATTGTCTCTGAGTACCAGGTCTTTTTAGCATATTTTCTCCAAATGTTACATCCTTAGGGGCTTTGAATAGTAGAAGAGCCTTCAACATTGGTTCAGATGGAAGCATGCAGGCATGTGGAGAGTTGCCACTCCCTGATCCCTGAAACAAGGCTTAGGATGGAAAAGAGCCTCCTGGGGAGGTTGGCTCTGAATGTAAAGCTGGGAGAGGCACCTCCTGTCAACCTAAGGGCTTGTTGGTAGGGGCAACATGTTGACCTGGCTTCCTTCCCACTCTGAGACATCACTGGCTCTCATGCAGAGCTATTTTCCTTCTTTCTTTCTTTCTTTCTTTCTTTCTTCTTTCTTTCTTTCTTTCTTTCTTTCTTTCTTTCTTTCTTTCTTTCTTTCTTTCTTTCTTTCTTTCTTTTCTTTTCTTTTCTTTCTTTCTTTTTTTTTTTGAGACGGAGTTTCACTCTTGTTGCCCAGGCTAGAGTGCAACGGCACGATCTCAGCTCACCACAACTGCCACCTCCCTGGGCCAAGCAATTCTCGTGCCTCAGCCTCCCGAGTAGCTGGGATTACAGGCATGTGCCACCATGCCCAGCTAATTTTGTATTTTTAGTAGAGATGGGGTTTCTCCTTGTTGGTCAGGCTCGTCTCAAACTCCCAACCTCAGGTGATCCACCTGCCTTGGCCTCCCAAAGTGCTGGGATTACAGGAGTAAGCTGCCGTGCCTGGCCTTTCATTCTTTTCTTTCCTTCTTTCCTTCTTTCCTTCCTTCCTTCTTTCCTTCTTTCCTTCCTTCCTTCCTCCCTCCTTCCCTCCCTCCCTCCTTTCTTCTTTCTTCTCTTTCTTTCTCCTTCCTTCCTTCTCTCTCTCTTTTCTTTTCTTTCTTCTTTCTGGGTTTCGCTCTATTGCCGAGGCTGGAGTGCAGTGAGTGGCACGATCACGGCTCACTGTAGCCTCAACTTCCTAGGCTCCAGCGATCCTCCTACCTCAGCCTCCTTAGTAGCTGGGATTGCAGGCATGAGCCACTGTGCCCAGTGTAATGCAGGGCTCTTCATCCAGGATCCCAAAGGGCAAACAAAAATAGGAGAAAATTACATTTCATTTTCACTAATCTCTAACTGAAATTTAGCATTTTCTCCAATGATAAATGTAGGCAATAAACCTACACCGGTATTTGTAGTACATGTGACTGTTGTTAATAGAATTTACACATTTGTGTCATCTTCCAGTAGTTGCAGAAATTTCAAAATGTCATGTATGCTCACGGTTACTTTGTAGTTAGTGGTAGTGGTTAGACTCACCACTAGATCTTCTTCTTACACATTTTGTTTCATTTTGACAACTGTACTTCAATATGATTGTTTTCCTTTGTAATCCCATTTATTTTACTTTATGCAGTTGAAGATTATTCTGACACTCCACAGACTTCACCAGACTTCCAAAACCTGTCCTAGACGTAAAAAGTTAAGAAACCTTAAATCTCTAATGATGCTGTCATTTCCTGTTTTGTATTATCTTACAACCAGGGTAATTAGGAATGCCTTCTTCTTCTTCTTTTTTTTTTTTTTTTTTTGAGACGGAGTCTTGCCCTGTCACCCAGGCTGGAGTGCAGTGGCACAATCTTGGCTCACTGCAACCTCCGCCTCCCGGGTTCAAGTGATTCTCCTGCCTCAGCCTCCCAAGTAGGTGGGATTGCAGGCATCCACCACCATGCCCAGCTATTTTTTTGTATATTTAGTAGAGATGGGGTTTCACCATGTTGGCCAGGCTGGTCTTGAACTCCTGACATCAGGTGATCCACCCACCTCAGCCTCCCAAAGTGCTGGGATTACAGGCATGAGCCACCGTGCCTGGCTTGCTTTCTTCTTGTTTAAACTAAAGGTCTTCTTGTAAAATTCCTGCTTATATTTTCTTCATTATTACTCAAATTCAATTATTCATTTATTTGCCAAATATTTAGAAAACACTTCTCTTGTACAAAACCATGCTGCATAAAACTGTTATTATGCGAAAAATAATCCTTACTCGCCATGCCCTCTACCCCGACCCCCCAACCCCATTTACAATCTGGTAGAGCTGGACTGTTTACCCACATAGGACACACAGGCTGCAGCTTACCATGGGCAGGGAGTGGGGATGGTTGTTCCAGGTGCAGGTAATAAGAAGGTGTATTGTCTGTGGAGAATTTAAAAATAATTCTAAAACCAACTTTTTTTTTTTTTTTTTTTTTGAGATGGAGTCTGACTCTTTGGCCCAGGCTGGAGTGCAGTGGCACCATCTTGGCTCACTGCAGCCTCTGCCTCCCGGGTTCCAGTGATTCTCCTGCCTCAGCCTCCCAGGTAGCTGGCATTACAGGCACACACCACCACGCCAGGCTAATTTTTGTGTTTTTAGTAGAGACGGGGTTTTACCACGTTGGCCAGGCTGGTCTTGAACTCCTGACCTCAGGTGATCTGCCCACCTCACCCTCCCAAAGTGCTAGGATTACAGGTGTGAGCCACTGCGCCCAGCCTGAAGCCAACTTTTTATTGATACTGCGCACCAGCAATTATAAAAAAATGTTAGTGACAAAATACCCCTTGCAGTGTAGCCTCCTCCCCCCACTCCACCCTGCTTGGTATGCCACTGCACACAGGGGAGTTTAACCATTTCCAGTTTACACACACACACACAGACACACACACACACACACACACACACACACACACAAACACACAGAGCCTTTGAGACTTCCTTTTCTCCTCAACTCCCCCAGCCCAGTTCTCATGTCACTCTACTCAGGGTAGGATCTGCAGCACTGCTGGGCCAGTATCCCCAAAGGTGAGCCCTGTAAGCTCCTTGGCCTCTGGATGGTCTCATTAATAGTCCAGGATGAGCCCTGCAATCTTGGCATCTGTAGGCAGGTCTCAGCTCTTCTTCACACCCCTGGGCTTGAACCCCTTGGCAACTGCGTTTGACAGTACATGATTCCCATTCTTCATCTCCAGATTTTCCATCCTTCAAGAAAACACTGGATTTCCTGGTCAAGCCAAGGCTTAATGAACTGGCCTGGCAGCTTCTCTGGTCCTCAAGTTTCCTTTTCTTGCCTTACTTTCTGAAGACTTCTAGTAGTTTTACTTGGAAGTGTCACTGTCTCCATTTTTATTCCTGAGTTTTCTGCAGTTCTTTTTTCTGTGGCCCCACGGACTCATCCAGAGCCTGCAGGGAGCTGACACCTCATCTGAGCTGCTAGAATTGAGGTGAGAAAGGAGGTTCCTAAGTGCAGAAATGTGTTTTCTCCTCTCCAGCCACCACTGAAGGCTTTGGATGTGATTGAGTCAGACCTCTCCTGCACAGTCTCCCTTTGGATTACCTCAAGATAAACCAATTTGTGACTTTAATTACATCCGCGAAGTCCCTTCCCAGCTGCACCTAAGCTAAAGTGTGATTGAATGAATGAAAGAGGGTGTGCTGGCGATCAGCTAGGGAAGTGATTCCAAGGGTCCCTAGACTCCACATTACCAACTGCAAAATGTGACGTTCTTACGTTCTGACAAGCGAACTCTCCTCCCAAATTCATTGCCTGAGTTGATGCAAATGAATTCAGCCACGCCTTTTGGGTTTGGCATCTGAGAAGTGTCTGTGACTTGGGAAGAGTGGTCAGAATGGCGATAATGGGAAGAGACCACATTTCAGCTGGTGGAGAGTGAAAGGACAGCCAACATCTTGCCCTTTCTGAAGCATACACACATTGGAGATTGAAAGTGTCTGTTGGCCTCACAGGCACTGAGGAAAGCCTCCCATCCCCTTAGATTTTCCTCCTTTTTCCTGAGGTCCCCTGAACCTAATAGTCTGTAACCTTATTCCATGTCTGGGTCAACAAACCACCTTCCAAGGAGGACTTGAATATAATAATCCGTTTCCTCTGCATTCCTCCAGAACACAGAGTCCACACCATCCATGAGTCTGTCAAACAAAACATTCCTCATTGGTCTCAATGTTGAGCACTGAAAGTTCTCTGAGCTCATTTAGCACCAACTCATCATCCTTAAAATCCACAGGATGGGCCGGGTGCAGTGACCCATGCCTGTGACTACAACACCTTGGGAGGCCAAGGGGCAGATCTCTTGAGCCCAGGAGTTCAAGACCAGCCTGGGAAACATGGTGAGACACCTTCTCTACAAAAAAAAATTTTTTTTTTTGAGACGGAATCTCACTCTGTCGCCCAGGCTGGAGTGCAGTGGTGCAATCTCGGCTCGCTGCAACCTCCGCCTCCAGGGTTCAAGCGACTCTCTGCCTCAGCTCCCGAGTAGCTGGGATTGCAGGCATCCACCACCATGCCCAGCTAATTTTTGTATTTTTAGTAGAGACAGGGTTTTACCACGTTGGCCAGGCTGGTCTCGAACTCCTGACCTCGTGATCTACCCGCCTCAGCCTCCCAAAGTGCTGGGATTACAGGTGTGAGCCACCATGCCCGGCCTACAAAAATTTTTTTAAAAAAATTAGCCAGGAATGGTGGTGTACACCTGTGGTCCCAGCTACTTGGGAAGCTGAGATAGGAGGATTCCTTGAGCCCAGGAGGTTGAGGCTGCACAGTGAGCTGTGATCACGCCACTGTACTCCAGCCTGAGCAATAGTGAGACCTTATCTCAGAAAACAAACAAAACAACCAAAAATATCCATAGGATGAAACATATGTTTGATTATGACAACTTGCTTATGGTACCTTCTGGATGGCCCAGCTCCCTTGCAGATCCCCAGACCAACAGCTTTTGTTGTAGTGACAGCTTCTTCTTGTAACCTCTTTTTTTTTTTTTTTGAGATGGAATTTCACTCTTGTTGCCCAGGCTGGAGTGCAATGACATGATCTCGGCTCACTGCAGCCTCTGCCTCCAGGGTTCAAGCGATTCTGCTGCCTCAGCCTCCTGAGTAGCTGGAACTACAGGTATGCACCACCATGCCCGGCTAATGTTTGTATTTTTAATAGGGACGGTGTTTTGCCATGTTGGCCAGGCTGGTCTCGAACTCCTGGCCTCAGGTGATCCACCTGCCTCAGCTTCCCAAAGTGCTTGGATTACAGGCGTGAGCCACTGCACCTGGCCTACAGCCTCTAATTTCATTTTCATCCAAAAGCTTTAATGGAAGGCCCACAGATTCCCTCTTCAAGTAACAGCAAAGCGCATCTCCTTTAAGATTTCTTTGATCATCTTCATAAAGCTTGACTTTGAAGTCTTCTGAGGATTTCTCCTGGAGGCAAACCAGATATATAGACATTTGTATTTCTGTCTTCTTCAACATGAAATTATCCTCATTCCATTTTTCTTTTATCTCCCCTGTTTTTAGGATCAGTGGGTTTGGGGGGTTTTCTTTGCAGAAATTCTGCATTCCTAGCATTGACATTTTGTACATTTGCAGGAGAGCTAGATGCCCCACCATTAGAAAAGCCACACTTGGCTGGGTATGTAGCAATGAAACCTTCAGTGGCCTTGGGAAACCACGCCTTCTTGTCCAGATCCCACTCATTGTGGGAGTCAGTTGGCTGCTGCCCTAAATAACCCGTTTGTCACTGAGATCTTCTTGTCTGTTGCAGTCCTTAGTGTCTCCATATAATTTATGCATTCACAACTGCTCATCAAGTCATCATTATCATCCACTTCATGTTTCCTACCTAGCCAGGGGCAGGGTTCAGGTAATCAAAGAGGCTGCTCTGCTGGGCCTGCAAGGCTCCACCAAGTGTGTCTGAGGTGACAGCCCAAGCACTGTTATAAATATTTGCGCACTGTTGTAAACATTTGCATTAGTCCCTTCTCGCACTGCTATAAAGAAATACCTGAAACTGGGTAACTTATAAAGAAAAGAGGTTGCCGGGCGCGGTGGCTCATGCCTGTAGTCCCAGCACTTTGGGTGGCTGAGGCAGGTGGATCACTTGAGGTCAGGAGTTTGAGACCAGCCTGGCCAATATGGTGAAACCCCGTTTCTACTAAGAATACAAAAATTAGCCGGGCATGGTGGCCAGCACCTGTAATCCCAGCTACTTGGGAGGCTGAAGCAGGAGAATCACTTGATCCGGGGAGGCAGAGGTTGCAGTGAGCCAAGATCATGCCACTGCACTCCAGCCTGGGTGACAGAGCAAGACTCCGTCTCGGAAAAAAAGAAAAGAAAAGATGTTTGCTGGGCACAGTGGCTCATGCTTGTAATCCTAGCAGCACTTTGGGAGGCTGAGGCCGGAGGGTTAATCACTTGAGCTCAAGAGTTTGAGACCAGCCTGGGCAACATGGCAAAAACCCGTCTCTATAAAAAATTCAAAACTTAGCTGGGTATGGTGGCATGTGCTTGTGGTTCTAGCTACTTGGGGAGCTGAGGTGGGAGAATTGCTTCAGACCAGAAGGTAGAGGCTACAGTGAGCTGTGATTGCGCCACTGCCTGGGCGACAGAGCAAGACCCTATCTCAAAAAAAAAAAGAGGTTTAATTGGCTCATGGTTCTGTGGGCTCTACAGGAAGCATGATGCTGGCATCTGCTTGCCTTCTGGGGAGGTCTCCAGAAACTTACAATTATGGCAGAAGGCAAAGGAGGAGCGAGCCTTCTCACATGGCAGGAGCCGAGAGAGAGGGAGGAGGTGCGGCACACTTTTAAACAACCAGAGCTTGCCAGAACTCTCTATCATGAGAACAGCACCAGGAGGATGGTGCTAAACCATTCGTGAGAATCCACTCCCATAATCCAACCACCTCTCACCAGGCTCCACCTCCAACACTGGGACTACATGAGATTTGGTGGGGACACAGATCCAAACCATATCAACATTTAACACATTGCATCTTTGAATTGTCACAGCAACCCTGTGAGGTGGGTACTAGTGTTATCCCCATTTTACAGAGAGGAAATTGATGCCCAGAGACCTTGCCAAGGTTATAGACAGGACAGTTAGTGCATGACAAAGCTGGAATTGGAATGCAGCCAGTTCTGCTTTAGAAGCCACTTTCTTGCCTGCCTTTCTTTCTTTATTTCTTTATCTTTTCTTTCTTTCTCTCTCTCTCCTTCCTTCCTTCCTTCCTTTTCTTTCTTTTCTTTTCTTTTTTTCTTTTTTTTTTGAGACAGGGTCTGGCTTTGTTGCTCAGGCTGGAGTGTGGTGGCACCATCTTGGCTCACTGCAACCTCCACCTTCTGGGCTCAAGTCATCCTCCTACCTAAGCTTCCCAAGTAGCTGGGATTACAGGTGCATACCACCACACCTGGCTAATGTTTGTATTTTTTTTAGTAGAGATGGGGTTTCACCATGTTTGCTAGGCTGGTCTTGTACTCCTGGCCTCCCAAAGTGCTGGGATTAGAGGCGTGAGCTATTGCACCCCGCCTGAAGCTACATTCTTTTTTTTTTTTTTTTTTTAATGAGACGAGTCTTGCTCTGTCCCCCAGGCTGGAGTGGTGCAGTGGCGTGATCTTGGCTCACTGGAACCTCCGCCTCCCGGGTTCAAGCAATTCTCCTGCCTCAGCCTCTCGAGTAGCTGGGATTACAGGCACCTGCCACCACTCCTGGCTGTTTTTTCCATTTTTAATAGAGACGGGGCTTCACCATATTGGCCATGCTGGTCTCAAACTCCTGACCTCAAGCGATCCGCCTGCCTTGGCCTTCCAAAGTGCTGGGATACAGGCATAAGCCATCGTGCCTGGCCAAGGCTACATTCTTAAACGCCACTTTTTACAGCTTCCAAGAAACTAACTGGGTGAAATCCAGCCTGCCTCCTGTCCTTGTTTTTATCATTTCATAGTGAAAACATAAACTCCCAAGCCCACCTACTCTATTGCACTGTGTCTCCATGACACTCTGTACCTTCTGGCTCTGACTCAGCCCTCCACTTTCCCCCTCCCTAACCTGCCTGTGCCCTCTAATAAACTGTAGCCCCCCTCATACCCTTAGCTTCTCCTTGGAGCATTCCCTCCACTTCCTGGCGTTAAGTGAAATTTAACTCTCCCTTGAGGGCACTACCTCCTTTGCAGGCTTCTGAAATGAGAGCTGTTGATTTTCTTACAGCTGAGGGTGCTCTCCTGGCTTCAGATTGCTGCCTCCGGACTACTCCTCCCCCAGCCCCCAACTCTAGTTTAAAATAACCCGCGGCCTTCCAGGCACTGCAATTAGGCTAAACTTTCCTCTTCCTTTCTCACTGCTACTGTCTGCCAGACCCCTCCACCTCACTCAGGGGAACGCTGGCCCAGCTGACCGTCTGTCTTTGCATTGAGTCCTCCCTCTGGGAGACTTCATTGTCCACCTGGAGGATCCATTCCCTACTTGACCTCTCAATAACCTGGCCACTTAATCCCCAAGAATCTTCTCCTCTCCAACTCGGCCACACATTCTCATTGTCATACCCTGGACCTTATCACCTGAAAGAGCCCCTCCTTGAGAATCAGTCAAGCAGCCTGCTCTTGGCCCCCACCTCCTAACCGTCTGTCCATCAGTCTGTCTGCCCTCCTCGCAACCAATTTTCAGTCTCCTAGGACCTTTGGATCAATGATGCCTTCCGTCTTCCAGCTTATGAGCCCCTCCCTATTCAGCTCAACTCCACAACCCTTCATTTCAACACCTCTCTGGACAATGTCGCCAACTCCCCTTCCCCTCTGTATTTTCATCCTTTGTACCCAAGTGGCAAAACCCCAACCCTGGATGAGCCCAGTGATCTGTTTTCTTCAGGATTTTACTCTGATAGCCAAGAACTGTTGGTGGTGGTGGGGGAAATCACACAATCAGGAAATGGTTCCCACTCCTCACTCATGATCATGAACTCTAAGGAGGCTCCCAGAATTGTTTAGTGGCCCAACCACATCACTCTGGTCAATGGCTACGTTAAACCTCCCTGATCCTTGAACCTCTGAGGCTCTTCTGTCTCTCACCTCATGCTCACTTGATGACCTCCCTCTTATGTCACAGAGAAAATGAAAGTCATCAGAGGTGAGCTCCCTCAACCATCTGTCACCAGATCCACACCCCTCCAAGAGGAACACAATGCATGCAGCGCATGTACCTTGATTTGATCCTGATTTGAAATATATGCATAGGCTGGATGCAGTGGCTCACGCCTGTAATTCCAGCACTTTGCTTGAGCTCAGGAGTTCAAGGCAGGTGGATTACTTAAGCTCAGGAGTTCAAGACCCACCTGGGCAACAGAGAAAAACCCTGTCTCTACAAAAAAAAAAAAATACAAAAATTAGTCAGGTGTGGTGGGTCACACCTAAATAGTAGTTCCAGCTACTTAGGAGGCTGAGGTGGGAGGATCACTTGAGCCTGGGAGGTGGAGGTTGTAGTGAGCTGTGATTGCACTGCTGCACTCTAGCCTGGGTGACAGTGAGACCCAGTCAAAAAAGAAAGAAGGAAAGGAAGGAAGGAAAGGGAGGAGAGAGAGAAAGGAAGGAAGGAAGGAAGGAAAAACAGAAGAAAGGAAGGAAAGAAATTAAAAAGAAAGATATATATATATATAAATATATATATAAAAGACATTTTGAGGCTAACTGGGGAATATTTGAGTATATTCTGCTATCAGATGAAGTGAAGAAATGATCGTTATTTTCTAATTTTGTTTTTTTTTTTGAGACTGAGTCTTGCTCTGTCACCAGGCTGGAGGTCAGTGGCGCAATCTCAGCTCACTGCAACCTGTCCCTACTGGGTTCAAGCAATTCTCCTGCCTCAGCCTCCCAAGTAGCTGGGATTATAGGTATGCACCACCACGCCCGGCTAATTTTTGTATTTTTAGTAGAGACGGGGTTTCACCATATTGGCCAGGATGGTCTCAATCTGTTGACCTTGTGATCCTCCTGCCTCAGCCTCCCAAAATGCTGGGATTACAGGTGTGAGCCACCGTGCCTGGCCATGATCATTATTTTCTTAGCTGTGATTACGTATTGTGGTTATGGAATCTCCTTATTTTTGGGAGATGCATGCTGAGGTACTTAGGTGTGAAGCACATGCTTTCCTATATTTTCATATGGTCCAAGAATGTTTTAGTAGTCACTCAACAATTTCTATGTTTAAAAAAAAAAAAAAGGGCTGGGCACAGTGGCTCATGCCCGTAATCAATCCGAGCACTTTGGGAGGCTGAGGCAGGCGGATCACCTGAGGTCGGAAGTTCAAGACCAGCCTGACCAACATGGAGAAACCCCATCTATAGTAAAAATACAAAATTAGCTTGGCGTGGTGGCGCATGCCTGTAATCACAGCTACTCGGGAGTCTGAGGCAGGAGAATTGCTTGAACCCAGTAGGCGGAGGTTGCGTACAGCCGAGATCGCGCCATTGCACTCCAGCTTGGGCAACAAGAGCGAAATTCCATCTCAAAACAAAAAACTAAAAACAAGCCCACAAAGACGTATATAGGCCTTGGCACTGTGGCTCATGTCTGTAATCCCAGAACTTTGGGAGGCCAAAGCAAGAGGATCACCTGAGTCCAGTTTGAGACCAGCTGGGCAACAAGGCGATACCTTGTCTCTACAAAAAATTTAAAAATTAGCCGGGCATGGTGCCATGCACCTGTGGCCCCAGTTACTTGAGAGGCTGAGGTGGGAGGATCGCTTGAGCCCAAAAGTTTGAAGCTGAGATGAGCTATGATCAGGTCACTGCACTCCACCCTGTGCGATGAAGTGAGACCCTGTCTTGGAAAAAAAAAAAAAGAACCATATATATATGTGTGTGTATATATATATGTTTGTATATATATAATATATAAATATTTGTATATATGTATAAATAACAATTGTTAAATCTAAGTAAAATGATCGACATACAAACAATATTGTATTATATTTTCAAGTTTTCTGTATGTTTGAAATTTTTCATAATAAAAAAACTGGGCAAAATTCTCTCACTTCCACTCACTGCTCGACCCTTTCAGGCTGGTGTTTATCTCTACCTTGCTGCTACTCAAATGTTTTTTTGCAATGAACTTTATGTCATTAAGTCCATTGTTTCGTTTTCTTCTTACTTGAACTGCCACTAGTAGCTGACGTTGCTGGCCAGTTCTTTCTTGAAACACTGTCGTTTTTTGGCCTCCAGGATTTGGCCTCTTCTGGCTTCCTCCCATCCCTCCATCGGCTGCTCTTCCACCCCTCAGCCGGCTCACTCCGCCTTTGACTGAAATCACCTGGTCATATTGGAGTTCATCAAGAGAGGTCGGTCCTGGACCCTCCTCTTCTTATGCTACCCTTTCCTTCTAGGGGATCACACCTGTCCTGTGGCTTCAGTTCCCATCAGCTGGTTACTCTCAAATTTATCTCTTGCCTCAAATCTCCAGATTTGACCACCTTCCTGCCTGGCATCCCTACTTGGATGTCCCAAAGGTATTACTAACTTAGCTTTTTTTTTTTTTTTTTTGGGAGACAGAGTTTCGCTCTTGTTGGCCAGGCTGGGGTGCAGTGGCAAGACCTTGGCTCACTGCAACCTCCGCCTCCTGGGTTCAAGTGATTCTCCTACCTCAGCCTCCGGAGTAGCTGGGATTACAGGCATCCGCCACGACACCCGGCAAACTTTTTGTATTTTCAGTAGAGATGGGGTTTCACCATGTTGGCCAGGCTGGTCTCAAACTCCTGACCTCAGGTGATCCACCTGCCTCAGCTTCCCAAAGTGCTGGGATTACAGGCATGAGCCACGGTGCCCAGCTTAACTTAGCATATTTGAAACAGAAGTCATGATCTTCCCACAGAAGCAGTATCATCCTCAGATCTGAACCACAGGGGCCCTGCCCTGGCCCACATACTTTAGGGGGATTCACCTATCACAAACAACTTATCACACACATTTATTACATGACACCTGGGCACCTCTGTCACTGATCTGCTGTCAGTGCTGGAACAGCACAACCTGAAATCTTACACATCTGCTCTTGTAATCAACGCCGTTCAAGCCCTGGGGAATGGTGACTTCTGTAATCTCTTGCCCTGTATCCTGGAAACAAAAGATGACTATAGCCAATTCTGTGAAAATCTGAGGTTGTGCCTCTGCCTGGATTCTGAAGCATGTACTGCTTTGGAGTGTAGGGAGGATTTAAGCAGTGGAAACATGTAAGTGAAATCACTTTAACCAGCTTGTTAAATATTACCTCTCAAATAGCATGACAAAGTATCATTTCCCAATAGTGTTGAGTGTGGTTTTTCTTGTTTCTCTTTGTTTTAGAGGTATGGATGTATGTTGTGCTGCATTTACAACAGTTGCAAAGGATAGCTGAGGAACATGTTGCTGTATTAAACAATCCTTATTACTGTTAAATTTATATGCATGTGGTGGGAGGGGTGGTGAGGGATAAAAAACTACACATTTACAGTGTACACTCCTCCTGTGATGGGGGCACCAAAATCTCAGAAATCACCACTAAATAACTTATTCATGTAACTGAACACCACCTGTTCCCCAAAAGCCTATTGAAAAAAAAATTGAATACATGTAGGTCTAGATATAACTCTTGTGAAGTATGATATTGATTCTCTATGTTGTAATAGATGGACATTGAATACGAGATTATGAATACAATCATCCTCAGTATTCACCAGGGATTGATTCCAAAACCCCCACTGATGTTCAAACCCCTTGTATAACATGGCATAGTATTTGCATATAACCTATGCACATTCTTCCACATACTTTAAATCATCCCTAGGTTATCTATGGTGCCTATCGCAATGTAAATGCTGTATAAATATATGTTATACTGTATTTTTTATTTGTATTATTTTTTCTTTCTTTCCTTCCTTCCTTCCCTTCCCTTCCTTCCTTCCTTCCTTCCTTCCTTCCTTCCTTCCTTTCTTTCTTTCTGACAGTCTTGCTGTGTCACCCAGGCTGGAGTGCTATGGCAGGATATCAGCTCACTGCAAACTCTGCCTCCCAGGTTCACGCCATTCTCCTACCTCAGCCTTCCAAGTAGCTGGGATTACAGGTGCCCGCCACCATGCCCGGCTAATTTTTTTGCATTTTTAGTAGAGATGGGGTTTCACCGCGTTAGCTAGGATGGTCTTGATCTCCTGACTTTGTGATCCACCCGCCTTGACCTCCCAAAGTGCTGGGATTACAGGCGTGAGCCACCGCGCCCGGACTGGCCATATATATTTTAAAAATATTTTTATTCTTCAGTTGGTTGAATCCATAGGTGTGGACCTACAGATACAAAATGCCAACTGTAGTTTAATTTTTATAAAACTATCTGTCTTAGTCCATTCAGACTGCTATAACAAAATACCTTACACTGAGCAATTTATAAATAATAAACACTGCTTACAGTTCTGGAGGCTAGAATGTCCAAGCAGGTGGTGCCAGCAGATTTGGTAGCCAGTGAGGGCACACTTTGCTTCATAGATGGCGCCTTCTTGCTGCATCTTCACGGGTGGAAGGGGCAAACAAGCTCCTTTGGGCCTCTTTTTTTTAAGACAGGGTCTCGCTGTGTCACCTAGGCTAGAGTGCAGTGGCGTGATCTCGGTTTACTGCAAGCTCTGCCTCCAGGGTTCAAGTGATTCTCTTGCCTCAGCCTCCTGAATAGCTGGGATTACAAATGCCTGCCACCATGACTGGCTAATTTTTGTGTTTTTAGTAGAGATGGGGTTTCTCCATGTTGACCAGGCTTGTCTTGAACTACCGACCTCAAATGATTAGCCCGCCTGAGCCTCCCAAAGTGCTAGGATTACAGGCATGAGCCACCGCACCCAGCCTGGGCTTCTTTTATAACGGCATTAATCCCATTCATGAGGACAGGCCCCTCATGACCTAATCACCTTCTAAAGGCCCCATCTCTTAATATCACCACATTGGGGATTAGGTTTCAATTTATGAATTTTAGGGGGGCACAAACATTTATGCCATAGCAATACATAATAAAAATTAATAAATATGTATATATTTTTTTGAGACAGGGTCTCACTCTGTCACCAGGCTGGAGTGCAGTGGCACAATCATGGCTCACTACAGCCTCAACCTCCCAGGCTCAGGCAATCCTTCTACCTCAGCCTCCAGAGTAGCTGAGGCCACATATGTGTGCCACCATGCCCGGCTAAGTTTTCTATTTTTTGTAGAGATGGCATTTCACCATGTTGCCCAGGGGGGTCTCAAAACACTGGGCTCAAGCAGTCTGCCCACCTTGACCTCCCAAAACACTGGGATTTCAGGTGTGAGCTACTGGGCCCAGCCCAAAATTTCAAAAAAAAGCAGGCAAAAAGTCAGCTTTATCTAAATGTGTTTGATTTAAAATATTGATGTGTATTCATTATCATTTATATTTTGTCCAGATGCCGTGTCTCATGGCTGAGATTCCAGCACTTTGGGAGGCTGAGGTGGGAGGATCACTCGAGCTCAGAAATTTGAGACCAGCCTGGACAACATAGTGAGACCATCTCTCTACAAAAACTAAAAAAATTAGCTGGGTGCGATGGCTCATGCCTGTAATCCCAGCACTTTGGGAGGCCAAGGCGGGTGGATCACTTGAGGTCAGGAGTTCGAGACCAGCCTGGCCAACATGGTTAAACCCCACGTCTACTAAAAATACAAAAAATTAGCAGAAGAATGCTTGAACCCATATGTATACATGTATATATACATATGTGTATGTGTATGTTTATATATATATGTATATGATACAAAATTAGCCAGGTGTGGCAGCACACACCTGTAGTCCCAGCTATTTGGGAGGCTGAGATGGGAGGATCACTTGGACCTGGGAGGTCAAAGCTGCAGTGAACTGGGATCATGGCACTGTACTCCAGCCTGGGTGACAACGTGAGATCCTGCCAAAAAAAAAAAGGAAAAATAAAAAGAGTGATTTTACAGAAAAATTGAGATTTTCAATTTATCACGGCAGTGCCAGCTCTGAATTCCTATGCGGCAACGCTGGACCAGGAGCTGCTGCCCCTCTAGGAGGGGAGGGTGCCCTCCAGCCTGTTATAGCCTTCCCTTGGCACTTGGCACATTACTTGCCTGGCCCTTACAGGAATTTGAGGTGCAAATTGATCTAGATCATTGAAGGAAGAGTCTGGGTCTTCTCAGTTTTGGGGCACTTTCGTTGCCAAGTAAGGTTCTTATGAGATTTTTAGAAGTTGAGATTAAAAAAGAGTTTATATGCAGCTGGAGGTGATACCTAACAACAACCATAATAACAGCATCAACAACAAAAACAGTAGCCTAGAGCAGTTACTCTAAGCCAGGTAAGTGTTCTAAAGCACTTCACACAACTTATTTACTCTCACGACAATGCTATTAGGTAGCACTTTGAATACACACATTTTGTAGGTGAGGAAATTGGGGCATGTAGCTGTTAAGATTTATATCAGCCGGGCGTGGTCACTCATGCCTGTTCCCAGCACTTTGGGAGGCCAAAGCGGGCGGATCACGAGGTCAGGAGTTTGAGACCAGCCTGACCAACATGGTGAAACCCCGTCTCTACTAAAAATACAAAAATTAGCTGGACATGGTGGCGGCTGCCTGTGATCCCAGCTATTCAGGAGGCTGAGGCAGGAGAATCGCTTTAATCTGGGAGGCGGAGGTTGCAGTGAGCTGAGATCATGCCACTGCGCTCCAGCCTGAGTGACAGTGAGACTCTGTCTCAAAAAAAAAAAAAAAAAAAAGATTTATACCAATTTATACCGTCCAATAGGAGGCGTGAGACTCAACACAGGGTGGAGGAGAGAATAGGTCAGGAAATCACATCTCTCCACCTGCACAGCCACCATCATTGTACCCTTCTAAAGAGACTGGCAACAACTTTCATTCAGCACTGTCCCATTGATTGGCTCATTTCATGATCACAGCAACCCAGTTAAGCAAATCCTCACCTTTGCATCGCCTGCTTTGTATCACTTTTCTTTAAAATTAAAAATAAAAAAAATGGATTACAAATTCGGTTAACGCCCATCCCATTTCTCTCCTTCCTTGTAGTAATTATCATTCTAAAGTTGTTGGGAATTATTCCCATGCGTACTTTGCACTTTTAAAAAATGTTTGCTTTCCTAAACATATACCACTGTTTTGTGTATTTTAAAACTCACACAAATAATATCATACAACATCCATTTTTGCAAGTTTCTTACTCATTACATTGCTAAATATGTCTATAATTCATTTAACTGCTGTATAGTATCCCATTATAAGAACAAACCATACTTTATTTATCCATTTTACTTAACAACAGTTAGCTTATTTCCACTTCTTCTTGACAATTAACTGATACTGCAATGACCATTTTTATCCTCGCCTTTTTGTGCATGTGTAGAAATGTTTTTCTAAGGAATAGATCTAGAAGCAAGATTGCTGGGTCATAGGGAATATTCATTTTCAGCATTAACTGGTGCCAAAATTCTCTTCAAATTTGTTGTATCTGTTTACACTTCAACACAAAATATATGCATTCCTATTGTCCCACATTTTTGTCAACAGTGTTAGAATAATTTTAATTTTGGTGATTTTGTGGGTGTAAAATGGTAACTCGCGCTGTGATTTGCATTTCTACATTACTGGTTAAATTGAGCATCTTTTCTTATGTTTATTGACCATTAGGTTTCTCTTTTGTGACTCACCTATTCACAGCTTTTGCTCATATTCTCTTGCGTTGTCCTTTTCATATGGATCTGCAACTTCTTTATGAATCCTGGATATAATCCTTTGTTGTTTATGTAGATTGTGAATATTCTCTAAGTCTGTGGCTTGTCTTTTACTTTACGTGATTTCTTTTTTTTTTTTTTTTGAGACGGAATCCTGCTCTGTCGCCCAGGCTGGAGTGCAGTGGCACAATCTCGGCTCGCTGCAAGCTCCGCCTCATGGGTTCACGCCATTCTCCTACCTAAGCCTCCCGAGTAGCTGGGACTACAGGCACCCACTACCACGTCCAGCTAATTTTTTTGTATTTTTGGTAGAGACGGGGTTTCACCATGTTGGCCAGGATGGTCTCAATCTCCTGACCTTGTGATCCACCCGCCTTGGCCTCCCAAAGTGCTGGGATTACAGGCTTGAGCCATCGCGCCCGGCCTATGTGATTTCTTATAAAAGCTTAAAAATGTTTTAACGTGGTCATATGTATCAATATTTTCCTTTATTGCTTGTGCATTTATTTATAGTCGACAAATAAAAATTGTATCTATGGTGTAACAACATGATGTGTGTATATATATGTGTGTGTGTGTGTGTGTGTGTAATGGCTAGAGTAATTACTGTATCTGTTATCTCACATACTATCATTTTAAACGTGATATTTGAAATGTACTCTCCTAGCAATTATTTTTATTTTTATTTTTTTTTTGAGACAGGATCTTGCTCTGTCGCCCAGGCTAGAGTGCAGTGGCAAGATTATAGCTCACTGCAGCCTGGACCTCCCAGGCTCAAGTGATTTTCTCTTCTCAGCCTCCCAAGTAGCTGGGACTACTGGCACGTGCCACCACATCCTGCTAATTTTTTCAATTTTTTGTAGAGACAGGGTCTCACTATGTTACCTAGGCTAGTCTTGAATTCTTGGGGTCAAGCAATCAAGCAATCGGCATCCCGAAATGCTAGGATTACAGGCATGAGCCACTGCGCCCAGCTAATTTTTCTATTTTTTTTAGAGATGGGGTCTCACCATGTTGCCCAAGCTGGTGTCGAACTGGTCTCAAGCGATCCACCCACCTCAGCCTCCCAAAGTGCTGGGTTTACAGACATAAGCCACTGCAGCTGGCCAGCAATTTTCAAGTATACAATACATTGTTATTAACTCTAGTCATCATGTTATACAATAGATCTCCTGAATTTATTCTACCTAACTGAAATTTTGTATCCTTTGACTAAAGCTCTCCAATCCCTGCCCACACCCGCCCCCCGCCCCCTAGCCCCTGTGCAGCCACCATTCTATTCTCTGCTTCTGCAATTTTATTTTATTTATTTATTTTTTTAAATTTATTTTGAGACAGGGTCTCACTCTGTTGTCTGGGTTGGAGTCCAGAGGTCTGATCACAGCTCACTGCAGCCTCAAACTCTTGGATTCAAGAGATCCTCCTGCCTCAGCCTCCCGAGTAGTTGGGACTACAGGCACGTGCCACCATGCCTGGCTGAGTTTGACTCTTTAGGTTCCACATGTAAATGAAATCATGGTATTTGTCTTTCTGTGCCTGGTTTATTTCATTTAGCATAATATCCTCTAGTTTTATCCATGTTGTCACAGATGACAGAATTTCCTTCTTTTTAAAGACTGAATAGTATTCCATTGTGTATATGTTCCATAATCTCTCTATTTATTCATTGATGGACACTTAGGTTGTTTCCATGTCTTGGCTATTGTGAATAATGGTGCAGTGAACTTGGGAATACAGATATCTCTTCAACATACTGAGTTCATTTCTTTCGAAATATACCTGATAATGGAACTACTGGATCACATGGTAGTTTTAATTTTTTGAGGAAGCTCCATTCTGTTTTCCAAAATAGGTGTACAAATTTACATTCCTACCAACAGTTTGTGAGGGTTCCTTTTTCTCCACATCCTTGCCACCACTTGTAATCTCTTGGTTTATTTTTATTTTTTTTATCAGAGCCATCTTAGCAGGTATGAGGTGATATCTCACTGTGGTTTAAATGTTCATTTCCTTGATAATTAGCAATATTGAGCATTTGTTTTTCATATACCTGTTGGCCATTTATGTGTCTTCTTTTGAGAAATGTTTTTTCAGATCATTTGCCCATTGTAAAATCAGATTTTTGGCTGGATGCAGTGGCTTATGTTTGTAATTCCAGCACTTTGGGAGGCCAAGGCAGGAGGATCACTTGAGCCTAGGAGTTCAAGATAAATCTGGGCAACATAGGGAAACCCTGTCTCTACAAAAAAATTTTAAAAATTAGCAGGGCACGGTGGGGTGTGCCTGTGGTCCCAGCTACTTGGGAAGCTGAGGTGGGAGGATTGCTTGAGCCTGGGAGTTGAAGGCTGCAGTGAGTTATTATTGCGGCACTGTATTCCAGCCTGAGCAACAGGGTGAGACCCCAACTTAAAGAAAAAAAATCAGATTTTTGGTTTTCAACAACTCTTGCTATTAAGTTTCTTATAAAAATATTCACCCCTTATCAGATGTATAGTTTACAAATATTTTGTCCCTTTCCGTAGGTTGTCTGTTGATTGTTTCCTTTGCTGTTCAGAAGCTTTCATTTGATGCAATCTCATTTGTCCAAAAAAATTATTGCCCAGACCAATGTCAAGAAGCCAAGATCATGCCACTGCACTCCAGCCCAGCAACAGAGCGAGACTCCATCTCAAAAAAAAGATCTGAAATTGTAAAAATACTAGAAGAAAATATAGGAGAAAAGCAATTCTCCTGCCTCAGCCTCCTGAGTGGCTGGGACTACAGGTGTGCACCACCACACCCAGCTGATTTTTGTATTTTTAGTAGAGATGGGGCTTCACCATGTTGGCCAGGATGGTCTCAATCTCTTGATCTTATGATCCACCTGCCTTGGCCTCCCAAAGTGCTGGGATTATAGGTGTAAGCCACCGCACCCCGCCATTTCAGATCTTATGTTTAAGTCTTTAATTCATTTTGAGTAGTTTTTTTTTTTTTTTTTTTTTTTGGAGGCAGTCTCTCTCTGTTCTTCAGGCTGGAGTGCAGTGGTGTGGTCTTGGCAACCTCTGCCTCCCAGATTCAAGTAATTCTTGTGCCTTAGCCTCCTGAGTAGCTGGGACTATAGGTGTGTGCCACCACCCCTGGCTAATTTTTGTGTTTTTGGTAGGTTTCACCATGTTGGCCAGGCTGGTTTCGAACTCCTGGCCTCAAGTAACCCATTGGCCTTAGCCTCCCAAAGTGCTGGGATTACAGATGTGAGCCACTATGCCTGGCCTGAGTTGATTTTTGTATATGAGGTGAGATATGGTCAAATTTTATTCTTCTACATGTGGATATCCAGTTTCCCCAGGACTGTTTATTGAGGAGACTGTCCTTTCCCCATTGTATGTTCTTGGCATATTTGTAAAGGATCAGTTGGCCATAAAATGTGTGGATTTATTTTTGGCCTCTATTCTGGTCTTATATGTCTGTTTTTGTTCCAGAACCATGCTGTTTTTATTACTATAGCTTTGTGGCAGCTTCTGAAATTAGGTAGTGTGATGGCTCTAGCTTTGTTCCTTTTGTTCAAGATTGCTTTGGCCATTTTGGTCCTTGTCTTTTGTGGTTCCATATGAATCTTAGGATTTTTTTTCTATTTCTGTGAAAATGTCATTGGAATTTTGATAGAGGTTGGATGGAATCTACAGTTTGGGGTAGTGTGGACATTTTAACAATATTAATCTTTCCAATCCATTAACATGGAATATCTTTCCATTTATTTGTGTCTTTAATTTCTTTCTTCAATGCTTTATGGTTTTCAGTGTACAGATTTCTCACCTCTTTGATTAAATTTATTCCTAAGTATATATTTTTGATGCTATTATAAATGTGATTGCTTTCTTGATTTCTTTTTTGGTTGGTGCATTATTAGTATACAGTAATGCTACTGACTTTTGAATATTGATTTTGTATCCTGCAACTTTACTGAATTTATTAGTTCTAATAGTTTTTTTGGTGGTATCTTTAGGGATTTCTCTATATAAGATCATGTCATCTACAAAGTGACAATTTAACTTCTTTCTTTCCAATTTGGATGCCTAGGGAGCATCAGTGGCTCAAGCCAGCTGTCCTGGTGCACAGGGAGGCGAGGCTATGAGTTCGAGGCCAACCTGGTCAACATTGACCAATTTGGATGTCTTGTATTTCTTTCTCTTGCCTATCTGTTCTGACTAGAACTTCTAGTACTATATTGAATAGAAATGGTGAGAATGGTTATCCTTGTCTTGTTCCTGATCTTAGAGGAAAATCTTTTAACTTTTCATGATTATGTATGATGTTAGCTGTGGGTTTGTCATATATGGGCTTTATTGTGTTGAGATACACTTTTTCTATACCTAATTTGCTAAGAATTTGTATCATGAAAGGATGTTAAATTTTGTCAAACGCCTTTCCCCCATCTATTGATATAATCATATAGTGTTCTTCATTTTGTTAACTGCTTGTACTTTTGTACTTTTAAAATTTTGTATAAGAAATCCTTCTCTATTCTGATATCATCAATATGTGATCTTATATTTTCTTTGAATAGTTTTCAGTTTTGCTTTTTACTCTAGCTACCTGAAATTTACTTCTGGGTAGGATGTAATGTAGAATTTATTTTTTGTGTGTTTGTTTGGATAGCCAGTTAACTCAAAACCATTGAACTTTCCCACTGATTTATGTCACTTCCATTATAGCCAAGTCTCATATCTTTGAGGGTCTGTATTAGTCCATTCTTGCACTGCTATAGATAAATACCTGAAATCAGGTAATTTATAAAGTTTAATTGGCTCATAGTTCCACAGGCTGTATAGGAAGCATGGCTGGGGAGGCCTCAGGAAACTTACAATCATGGTGGAAGGTGAAAGGGAAGCAGGCATGTCTTACGTGGCTGGAGCAGGAGGAAGAGAGGGAAGAGGTGCCACACGCTTTTTTTTTTTTTTTTTTGAGACAGAGTCTTGCTCTGTTACCCAGGCTGGAATGCAGTGGCACAATCTCAGTTCACTGTAACCTCCACCCTCTGGGCTCAAGCGATCCTCCCACCTCAGCCTCCTGAGTAGCTGGGACCACAGGCATGCATCACCATGCTCGGCTACTATTTTTGTATTTTTGTAGAGATGATGTCTCAGCATGTTGTCCAGGCTGGTCTTGACCTCCTGAGCTCAAGTGATCCTCCTGCCTCAGCCTCCCAAAGTGCTGGGATTATAGGCAAGAGCCACTGCACCTGGCCTCCACACACTTTTAAACAACCGGGTCTCATGATAACTTACTATCATGAGAACTGCACCCAGTGGGAAATCCATTTCCATGATCCAATCACCTCCCACCAGACCCCATCTCCAACAAAGGGGATTACAATTCGACATGAGATTTGGAGAGGGAGGGACACAGATCCAAACCCTATTAGGATCTGATTCAAAAAAGTTTTGTTCTGTACTGTGGTCTATTTATGTGTGCATATACCAGGACTAGACTGTTTTAATCACTCTAAGTTTCAACCAGTAAACTTGTGACATATGGTTAGGCAAGGGATCTCATATTCTTCTGCTTCAAGTTTTGTTTTTTCTTGGCCATTTACTCTTCCATAAGAATTTTAAGGCCGGGTGTGGTGGCTCATGCCTATAATCCCAGCACTTGAGGAGGCCGAGGCGGGCAGATCACGAGGTCAGGAATTCAAGACCAGCCTGACCAACATGGTGAAACCCCGTCTGTACTAAAAATACAAAAAAATTAGCCGGGCGTGGTGGTGCGCACCTGTAGTCCCAGCTACTCAGGAGGCTGAGCCAGGAGAATCACTTGAACCTGGGAGGTGGAGCTTGCAGTGAGCCGAGATCGCGCCATTGCATTCCAGCCTCGGTAACAGAGTGAGACTCCGTCTCAAAAAAAAAAAGAATTTTAAGAACAGTCTGTCAAGTTCCATAAAATATCTGATTGGAGTTTTGCTTAGAATTGTACTGAATTTTTAGATTTGAGAAAAATTATCAGCTTTATATCAAACTTCCGTCTTTGTGAGTAGGGGATCTCTTCCTATTCTTTTATATCTTCTTTATGTTCTCTAATAAAACTTTATAATTTTCTCCATAAATATCATACACAGACTTTGTTATATTTATTCCTAAGTATCTTATGATTTTTGTTATGACAAATGGTATTTTCTTTTCTTTTTTTTTTTTTTTGAGACGGAGTCTCGCTCTGTCGCCCAGGCTGGAGTGCAGTGGCGCAATCTCGGCTCACTGCAAGCTCCGCCTACTGAGTTCACGCCATTCTCCTTCCTCAACCTCCCCAGTTGCTGGGACTACAGGTGCCTGCCAACTCGCCCAGCTAATTTTTTGTATTTTTAGTAGAGACGGGGTTTCACTGTATTAGCCAGGACGGTCTCGATCTGCTGACCTCATGATCCGCCTGCCTTGGCCTCCGGAAGAGCTGGGATTACAGGCGTGAGCCACGATGCCTGGCCTAAAATGAAATATTTTATCTGTTTATTGCTGTGGTGTAAGGATATTGATGTTTGTGTATTCTCCTTGCCCCCGGCAAGGAAATTGTTATTTCTAATAGTTGGTAGGTTCTTGTGAATTTTCTTTGTATAGTAAGCAATCTATGTATAGTAATTGTCTATGTATAGTGATGGCTTTATTTCTTCTTTTTCTTCTTGTGTCACTTCAGACTTCTTGGCAGAAAGGTGAATAGAAACAGTAAAAACTGGTATCCTTGTCTTGACTTTGGAAGTTACTTTCTATTCCTAGTTAGCTAGATTAAAAAGATTAAAAAAGAAATAGACAGGTTCTCACTATACAGTGGTTATTCACAGCCTCAATCATAGAGCACTACAGCCTCAAACTCCCAGGTTCAACGAACCTTACCACCTTAGCCTCCCAAGTAGCTGGGACTACAGGCACAAGCCACCACACCTGGCTAATTTTTAAATATTTTGTAGTTCACTACAGCACTATTCACAATAGCAAAGACATGGCGTCAACCCAAATGCCTATCAATGAAAGACTAGATAAAGAAAATGTAGTATGCAGCCAGGCGTGGTGGCTCACACTTGTAATCCCAGCACTTAGGAAGCCTGAGGCAGGTGGATCAGGAGTTCGAGACCAGCCTGACCGACATAGTGAAACCCTGTCTCTACTAAAAATACAAAAAAATTAGCCAGGTGTGGTGGCAAATGCCTGTAATCCTAGCTACTCAGGAGGCTGAGGCAGGAGAATTTCTTGAACCCGGGAGGCAGAGGTTGCAGTGAGCTGAGATTGTGCCAATGCGCTCCAGCCTGGGTGACAGAGTGAGACTCTATCTCAAAAAAAAAAAAAAAAAAAAAAAAATGCCGGGCACGATGGCTCATACCTGTAATCCCAGAACTTTGGGAGGCCGAGGTGGGCAGATCACAAGGTCAGAAGTTCACGACCAGCCTGGCCAACATGGTGAAATCCTGTCTCTACTAAAAATACAAAAATTAACAGGGTGTGGTGGCACTCGCCTATAGTCCCAGCTACTTGGGAGGCTGAGGCAGAAGAATCGCTTGAACCCAGGAGGCAGAGGTTGCAGTGAGCCGAGATTGTGCCACTGCTCTCCAGCCTGGGTGACAGAGCAAGACACCACCTTAAAAAAAAGAAAAAAGAAAATGTAGTATGCGTACACCATGGAATACTATGCAGCCATAAAAGGGAATGAGATCATGTCCTTTACAGGGATGTGGATGGAACTGGAAGCCACTATCTTCAGCAAACTAACACAGGAACAGAAAACCAAACACCACATGTTCTCACTTATAAGTGGGAGCTGAACGATGAAAACACCTGGACACATGTGGGTGGGGGGAACAATAACCCACTGAAGTCTGTCAGAAGGGGAAGTGGCAGGAGGGAGAGCATCAGGAAGAATAGCTAATGGATACCGGGTTTAATACCTAGGTGATGGGTTGACAGGTGCAGCAAACCATCATAGCACATGTTCACCTATGTAACAAACCTGCACATCCTGCACTTGTACTCCGGAACTTAAAATAAAAGTTGAAAAAATATTTTGTAGAGACGAAGTCTCACTATGTTGCCCAGGCTGGTCTTGAACTTCTGAGCTCAAGCAATCCTCTTGCCTTGGCCTCCCAAAATTCTGGGATTTTAGCAGTGAGCCACTGCACCTGGCCTCCAGTTCTGGATCCTGGGTCTTGCGACATTATTCCATGCTGGCTTCTGAAGTCAATGAGGCAAAACCAGAAAGGGGAACTAAAAAGTTAAAGAGGGAGAGGGTCTCACAGGCAAGATGGAGGAAGCCTGGGATGAAGGCAGGGCTGTGGACCTGAATGATGCCAGGAATTAAGGAGGAAGTAACAGTGTTAGGTAATAGCACATGGGATTCTTGGGCTGCAGCTACAGGAGGGAGAATCATGGCCTTAATTCATCACCTCTGAAATCCTGAAATATCTAGCCTCCTGCCCAGATCCTGCCATGAATGCATCTATTCAACCACTATTTATAAAGTATCCAGTGTTAGGTCCAGGGAGTGGCAAGAGTGAGCATCTGCAGTCATAGTCCCTGCCCTCAGGGAGCTTACATTCAATGGGGCAGACAGACATCAGTCTGTACATAATCATCAACAAATGTAGAACTCCAACAGGGCCAAGTGCCTCTGAGGAAAGGTACACCTTAGTGTGAGCGCTCATAACAGGAGAATTTGACCCTGAAAAGAAGGTCAGGAAGGCTTCCCTGAGGCTATTGAGAAGGTGAGGCCTGAAGAATGAAGAGGAGCTAAGAGGAGAGGAACAGAGGAAGGAGCCGTTCCACAGAGGGTCCAGCCTCCCTGGAGACTCTGTGCAGGAGGAAGCACAAGGTGGACAGCAACTGGAGCACACGAGTGAGGGGGTGTGGTGGGAGATGAGGCTGGAGAGGAGGGGCCACCCCTTGCAGGGCCTTAGAGGTCAGGTTAAGGACTTGGGTCTTTAACCTAAGATCAATGGAAAACCACTGAATAGGTTTAAGGAGGCTGACTGAAACAATCAGATTTGCATTTTTAAAGGATCCCTCTTAGGTGTGTGTCATACTGTAGAGAAGGCCATTCCCAGCCTCTTCAGCTACTGCAATGACTCAGAGAAGGCCACATGGTCCACATGGTGGCTAGCCCAGGGATGTGGAGGGATGAAAACGAGTGGACAGACTTGAGATATATTAGAGCAGATAAAATGGATAGGACTAGGTGCTGGATTCAATATTGAGATGCTCATTCTAAACCGCCCCTACATCAAATCCTTCGAAGGCAGGGGCTATGCCACATGACTATGATACCCAGGTCCCAGAACAACTCCTGACACATGGTAGACTCAATACACATTTCCCGAAAGGGTGGAAATGATTAGCAGTCTCTCAAGTAATCCTTTGACCACTAAGCGTATTTAATTTCTTCTAGCATGTGTCAGTAATCAACCTCCTTGGTACATCATAGGGAGAAATATTGCCGAGTTCCAAAGAGTATACTCTGGGGCAAGTTAATACAAGAATAAGGTCTCACTTACCCTATAACATGAAGAGTAACAGTAAACTCGTAAGAACAGGACCTGGTGAAGCAAGGAGTAGGCACAGGAAGATGGCTCATCAAATAGGGGCGCCGGGTGTAGTGTGAACACCTGAGGCAGGAAGAACCCAGTAGCCTCTGGGGGTTGGGTGGGATTAGTTGGGGGACTAGGATTTGATGGTAGGGGGTTGTCCTGGAGATCTCTGGAAATTAAGTTATCTATTTTTTTTCTGTTTTTATTTTTATAAAAGAACTCTTAAGGGCATTTTTTTCTTTGTTTGTTCTGTTTTGAGATAGAGGTTCACTCTGTCGCCCAGGCTGGAGTGCAGTGGCGTGATCTCGGCCACTGCAAACTCCGCCTCCCAGGTTCAAGTGATTCTCATGCCTTAACCTCCTGAGTAGCTGGGATTACAGGCATGGGCCACCACGCCTTGCTAATTTTTGTGTTTTTTGTATAGCCAGGGTTTTGCCAGGTTTGGTCAGGCTGGTCTTGAACTCCTGGCCTCAAGTAATCCACCTACCTTGGCTTCCCACAGTGTTGGAATTACAGCCATGAGCCATCATGCCCAGCCTAAGCTATCACTTTAAAATGACCCTTCAAGAAAGTCCCAAGGAGTCTAATCCATCCACGACAACAGCACGTCTGAGACAGCCTAGTGAAATTTCTCCGATGGAGGACAGGAGATGGAAAAGTGCCCCAGGACCTCTTATTTATATAAAAAACAAAATTTTTTAAGACCCTGAGAAGTATGGATTCTTCTCCAGAGAAAAGTTCCTGGCTTGGGAGCTCCCTTAGGACTTGGCACTTTGGTCTAGAGTGAAGTGGACCTGGCCATTCCAGCTTTGAGTGGGTTCAGGCGAGACACTCGAGCTACCCCTTATGGTTGCTCTGAAGGTCACCCTGGCTGGGAGTGGGTGGATCTCTGCTCTGTTATGCCTCCCACAGGTGGAGGAAGTCTGTCTCTGAGGCTGCCCTGCCACCCTCATAGAGCGCTGCAGATTGGGGGCGGTGATGCAGCCACAGGGGCTCTGATTCCCTGCCTCCCCACTGTGTTCATCTCATTCCTCTCCACATATGAGGCCTGGTGTCATGGCAGGTGGGTGTTCCAAGTGAAACCACAGCCACAGAGGCAAGCAGTAGAGCCTGTCCCTGATGTGGCCCTGGTGATGCTGCACCAGCCTGGGGCTGTATCAGAAACCATGCCTGCAGCCTTTGCTTCTGCAGACTTGCTGGTGCTGCACCAGCCCTGAGCAATGTCCATAGCCCTTGCCTCACTGGTCACTGTGATGGGGACGCCCCCAGGTATGGTTCTGCTGCTGGTGTTGCAGGTTGGAGTGGGGGCCAGCACCCTCATCTACCACAAGAAGGCTTAGGTGGCACAGACGTAAGGCTGCTTGCCTGTGTGTAGAGTGGCAGGCTGCAACGGGCTGGAGCCTTGGGGAGAGGCCCTTGCCACACTGGTGGCAGTGATTGGGTTCAGGCAGGTGTGTGCCGCAGTGCTGGGCCAGGTGTGAGCTGTGGCAAGAGCTGTGGCCACACTTTCTGCAGGAGTAGGGCCTATCACCTGTGTGAAAGTGTTCGCACAGGGTCAGGTGGGCCCCTTGGCTGAAGTACTTCCTATATTAGGGGGAGGAGAAGGGCCCCTTGCCCAGGCTGTGCTGAGAGAGGTGAGAGCAGTGGGAAGAGACTCCACATTCCAGGCAGGAAATTTGAGTGGATTTGTGGGTGGAGATGGGGGTCCCGGGTAGGGGAGTTGGGGAAGGGTTGGTTGTGACAGCTGGCAGGTAAAGGAGTGCCATAGTAGGTAGAGGGCTGGGTCTGTCCTCTCTTCTCCTCCTCCTCTCCCTTTGCTCCCAGCCTGCAGGGAGAGGGGAGAGAGGTGAGAGCAGCATGGGGGAGGAGGAAGCAGAGGAGACAGAGGTGGGAGAGGAGAGGCTAAGCCCCACACCCAACTGAAGAAGTGGTTGGCGGTTTCAGCGGCACCTCCCTCCTCGCTGAGGTGGACTGTGAAGGTGGAGAAGCCCAGAGCACAGCCTCCTGTGAGCAGCTTCCCAGGGTGTTGAGGGCTGCCAGGCAAGGACAGGGCCCTCAGAGTTAGGCCTTGCCTGGGCAGGGGTCTCCTGGGGGAACCTTCCCTCAGGGCCCTGAGGCTCTGGGCTCCAGAGCTCAGCTTCCGCGTTCAGATACATGGTCTGCTCTGCTTTGGAGACTGAGAAGCCTGAGAGGTAAAATCGTGCTGGGTGGTAGGTAGGGTAAGGGAGAGGGAGCTTCCCCCCATCTCCCTCACCCACTGCAGAAAGGCTTCTCTGTTTCCTTCCCCAGCCCAGTCCCACCTCCTCTGTGAGGCCGCTCCTCACCTCCCTACTGGCCTGCAGTGATCCTCCTGCTTGGGAGTCACAGAGCACCCCTACACGGGCCCTTTGCCATTCTTTATAGTATAAGGCAAGGCCGTAACATTTTGTGGGGCATCTTCTTCAGTGTCCTCAGCCTTGTGTGAACATCAGAAGCACTTGGGGGCTTGGGAAAATGCAATTGCTGGCCCCATCTCCAGTTTCTTAAACAGCAGATCTGGGGTGGGGCCCAAGAATTTGCATTTCTAACAAGTTCCCAGGCGATGCTGATGCTGCTAGTCTGGGATCCACACTGGGAGAGCCACTGATCTGTTAGGCGTGTAACTTTACTTGTATTATCTCTCAATTCTCAGGGCAACCTGTTACTCTCCCCCATTTTGCAGGTGAAGAAACAGAGGGAAGACCCAGTGCCTTGTGCAAGGTGGCTCAGTTTGTAAGTGGCAGAGCCGATTTGAACCCACGTTTGTCTGACTCTAATACTGTATCAACCCTCCTTCCTCTACCCTGTTCCTCTGCATTGTCAACTATTCCACATGTATCTTGTTCCTCAACAAAATAGTAACGTTTTCTTTTGCATACTTTATATCTCTCACCTTGCCTGACCCAGTAACATAGGCTTGGTTGGGAGGGACTGAAGGACTTGGAAAGGAAATGCCCCAGTGGAGCCAGGATGGAAATGGGTTCCTCTGTGTCTCCCACATGGTGTCACCTAAATAAACAGCCATGTCTGTGAGGTTCAGTCATGGGGAGAGGAGGGCAAGAGAGCACTCGCACCAAGCGATGGGGTTAGGGGGACACGAAAGGAAATGTGATAAATAGAGAGGGGGGCGTGTGGGGCAAAGGTGAGGACTGGGGACCCGGGAGGGGGCAGGCTGTTTCAGAGTGAAGGCAGGACGGGCAGCAGAGACAGAGAAGAGGCTGCCGGGTGGTTAGGGCTGGGGAGGACAAGGAGGGTGAGGACAGACGATCCCGGCAGCCCCTGGAGCCAGAAGAGAAGTCAGGTTAACTCCAGACTTTTGGCTTCCACCTCTGTATCTCACCCAACTCCTCCCCACCTGCTTCTCTACCCTGAAACTCCAGGAACAACGCCCACCTGCCTCCCACTACAACTTCCCCTTATACCGTACACGTCCTGGATGCTTGGGGTCCGGGAGGAGGGGAGTCAGGATCACGGGTTCCAGGGAAGTGAGTGTAGAAAGGGGCTCCTACGAGGGTAGAAGTGGGTGTTGTCTGCTTCTGCAGGAAAGGGGCCAGCCAGCCCAACTGGTCCGCAGTACTTGCTGGGGCTGGAGGATGCCCACCTGCATCTACGGGATTGAGGGTACCGGAGAGGAGGCGAACAAACGAGAAATCCCAAGGGTGGAGAAGGGAGCCATGGGATCGGCGGGCGGGCCGCGCAGCTGCGGAACTGGGAGGGCCAAGCGGGCTTTAGGGGGAAACACGGCCGGCTCCTCTGCCAGTGAGACAGAGAACTGAGCATGGGGGAGGAATTTGGGGCCAGAGGGGCTGGGGGTACCCAGAGCAGAGGAAACAGGAAGTGAGGGGCAGAGAGGTTACGGGTGGTGGAAGGAACAGCAGTCGGTTCTGGAGAGGCGATTCCTCTTCCCCGAATACCTGCACTGCCCCGGACCGGGAGTGCAGTCGTGCGCCCCTGTCCCCCCAGCCTCAGGCTTGGTGCCCAGCCCCGCTCGCGGAACTCGAGGCCAGTAAGGCAGCCGCGGCTTTCCTTGATGCCCCCACTCCTCTGCTCTCAGCCGCTGCCTGGACGAGCACAGAACTAGTGTTCCCAGGCGACCCTCCCTCCGCTCAGCCCCGCTGCCCGGCGGGCAAAGGCTGTGCACTCACACTCCGAGTCTGCAGCCCAGCCTGCCCTTTTTTGGGAGGTGGCCCGGGGACTGGGATGTCGAACAGGGAGCTTCTCCGCAGTCCTCTCCACCTCCCTCCCTCTTTCCAGCTATAGAAACCGGCTGCTCGCAGTGACTTCCAAACATCACGGTCATTCCCACATCTACACACATCCCTTTCTCTTTTGAGCCATTTTCCTGCTTTCCCTTTGGTGTTGAAACCCTGGATTTCAGCCTGGGCGACTCAGGTTTTAGGGGGGAAAGTTTGGGGTCTAACTTGGCACCTCTGTTTTTTATCCTCTCTTCCAGCTTCATAGATGGTTCCTATTTTCATACATATTTGCTAATTTGGAGTTTCCGACGACATATCTCGAATAACCCGACATTTTCTCCCCATTTCCAAGGCTGATTTTACATTATTTCTAGGCCTCCCTCCCCAATCTATTTTCCTTTCTTTTTCTTGTACACCCCTGATAAACAGACACACAGAACTGCAGGTTTCAAAGAGGAAAAAAGCACGTTTGTTGTTGGTAGGCGGGCGTGAATGGGAGGGTTCTTCACCTTCTCCAACACCTCGTATAGATGGGACGTTGCAGGGCAATAGAAAAGGCAGCAGATGGGGGCGTGTTTTGCCCCACTCTGTACAATATAGAAGAATCTCATATAGATACTTTGTATAAAAGCCACGTGTCCTCATTTGTGTCCTCTTATTGGCTGGCTGGGCTGGGGGTACTGGGGGACAAAGAAGCTGGGGTGATAGACCAGGACACAGGGATACCCCATGGTCCCCTTCCTCTGGCTGTCCCCTGGTGGGGTCACTTTGGATCCTTGGTGGGAGCATAGCACAGCTCCAGTGGCCGGGACACCTTCCAGAATTTCTCATTCACCAGCTCCAGGGTCAGCGAGCCATTCAACGTCTGAGGAGGGGGTAAAAGGGAGAGAGGGGAAAAGAGAGAGGAAAGTTGGAGAAGATGGAAAAGGAAATGAATGAGAGGCAAAAGGTGACCAAGGGAGGAGGAAAGAAAAAAGGAATAATAAAAGCGATAAGGCAAAAAAGGACATGGATGATGGGAAAGGAGAGGGGACATAGAAAGAGATAGAGGATGTATAGGGGAAGAGTGCTGATGAGTTAGACCAGGCTCATGGTTCTATGTGGCCCAGACCACCCTCCCTCCTCTCCCCTCTTCTACCACTGCCCTCAGAAGCTCTCACCGTGAACGCCCCGCCTCCAGGTGCGATGTAGATGGTGTACTGCTTTTCACTGACGCCCTCCAGGCTGGGCAAAGCAGGCTCCTCAGGACCGTCACCTCCTCCGGCACCCCCACCCTCCCCGCCACACCCATCAGGTCCTCCGGTGTCAGAGGCGCCCCCTCCAGGCCCTCCTGGCTCCCCTGCTTCCTGCTGTTGCCTCCGCTCGAGGGCAATGCGCAGGGCCAAGTACTTGGAGAGGTGGTCCACTGTGGCATTCCCAGTTGTCTTCACATACCTGGAATGGGAGGGAGGACAGGCTTAGAGCCAGAGCGCCTCAGATGAGGACTGGAGGTAGGGGCTTTCCAAAATGGATTCTGGGTTGGGGTGGTATTTTGGGTTTGGGCAAAGCCCACTTCTGATGGAAATCTAGGTGATCTTTGGTTTCTCAGTGGCTGGGGAAAGACAGGGCTCCTCACCTCGTCTGGCAGTATTCTCCCTTCTCCACGAGCAGGGGGTGGGGCCGGAACACGAGCTCAATTTCTCCACCTGGCTCTGGGGGGCTGGGGGCCCCAGGAGGGCTTGGGGGGCCCAGCGTTCCCCCTCCCAGAGTCCCTCCCCGGTCACCAGAGTCTTCCGAACCGGCACCCCCACCCACCCCACCAGTGCCGCCTCCCCCTGTCCCTACACTGCTCCCCCCTGCGCCCCCTCCACGGGGTCGCTTGGGAGCAGGGCCTGGGGCAGAGTCAGGGGCGGAGTCTGAGCTCACATCTTCTCCATCCCCTTCTCCCTCCCCGGGCTCTCCTTCCCCCCCACTCATCGTTGTGGTCTGATCTGACCCTGGTATCGGCCGCCTCACACGCTGGGCCCTGTAGAAGCAAGTGGTTAAGGTTAGAAGGCATCCAGGATAAAGGGCTTAGACTTTAAACTTCAGAGAATTAAGAGATAAGAAAAATCCTAATGACGATACCTAATATTTATTAAACACAATGTGCTAAGCACTCAGTATACTAAGTGTTTTGCACCAATCCCCTTACCTAATACAATGAATCCTATGACACAGGTAATTATATTACCTCTATTTTATGGCTGAGGAAACTGAGGCTTAGAGAGGTTAAGTAACTTGTTAGTGATCATAGGCTGTCACCTCTCAAAGTGCGGTAGCAGCATACACATCCCCTGTGAGCTTGTGAAATGCAGACTCTCGGGCCCAACTCTAGACCTACTGAATCACAGTTTGCATCTGAAGATCTACAGGTAATCTGGATACACATGAAAGACTGAGAGATGCTGGCCTAGGAGGTGATTTAACTTCCAGCAGTATGAATCCGGGGCTTATTCTCAAAATCGCTCTACTGTTCTAACTTCTAGAAAGTCATGGGGTAAACTACATTTTTCCTTTTTTTTTTTTTGTGACAGGGCCTTGTTCTGTCGCCCAGCAGGCTGGAGTGCAGTGTGCAGTGGTGTGATCATGGTTCACTGCAACATCCACTTTCTTCCCAGGCTCAAGTGATCCTATTACCTCAGCCTCCCAAGAAGGTAGGACTACAGGCATGTGCCACCATGCCCAGCTAAATGTTTAATTTGTTGTAGAGATGAGATTTCCCTATGTTATTCAAGGTGGTCTCAAACTCCTGGGCTCAAGTGATCCTCCCATCCTCACCTCCCAAAGTGCTGGGATTACAGATGTGAGTCACTGTGCCCAGCCCTATATTTTTCTTAAGAAGAGCAGGGCCAGTTGTTTACTAAGAAACTGCAATTTACACCCATGATTTCCAGCCCTAATGATCAGTCTGTGGTCAGCTCCTAGGATGCTGAGGCTTAGAAGCTAGCAGGCAACAAGGACTGACCCACGGACCCATCCCATCAGTTCTGCTTCTCTCCTGACCCTCACACCTGTGCATGGCCTGCATGCGTAGCCCCTCCTCAATGCTGGAGCTCAATGCCTGCTGGTTGTGCAGGCGGCTCAGGCGGATAAGCACTCGGTCTTGATGGGCCTCGTATTCCTCCCGGCTAGGATAGATCTTAGAGATCAGGGCATCAAAGTTGGGGTCTGGCCGTAGGGATCGCTTGGACACCAGCTTCTTTCGGCAGGTAGGACACTCCTTGTTCCTGGGGTAGGAGAAGGGAAGCCCTGAGTGGTCAGTCAAGGGAACTGAAGCCTAGGCTGAACCAAGACCAGTGAGAGGGCCCTAACTTTGTACCCCTTCATCTCATCTCAAACATGTCTCTCCTATTACCCGCTCCGTAGGGCTGTGACAATGCAGTCAGAGCAGAATCTGTGGAGGCACTCCTTGGTGGTCATCGTATTCTTCAGCATGTCCAGGCAGATAGGGCACATGAGTTCTGAATGCAGTGACCGAGGGGAAACAGCAATCTCTGTGCCATCCATTATGGCTTCCTGAAGGCATCAGTGAGTAGAAAGGTGGTGTGGGTTAGAGGGAAAGGGGTTTTAGAAACAGCAGCCCATAAAATAAGAATTTTGAGAAATACAGTGAGAAGACCCATGTTGGTCTCTATAGGAGACAAGAATTCTGAGAAAGAGAAGGACTGATGACTTGGAGCAAATGGAGAAAAGACAGACTTTAGTGTCCATTAACTAAGAGTAGGAGCTTTGGAATAGGAGGATCTGAGGTGGCTAAGTGGCCTAGGAGTGAAGATGGCACAAATCTGTGGTTGGGAAAAACTATTCAACAAAATTTTTTAAAGTCCTGGTGCTACCTGTATTAGAACCCCATAGGGTGCCTGTTAAAAATTCAGATTCTGAGAACCCAATTCACTACTGAATCAGAATGTTGGGGGGCATGAAGCTCTGCTTTTAATAAACTCCCAAAGTGAGTCTTATGTGCACTGACTTATGACACTGAATGAGGAACAGGGAAGGTAATTTTTGTGTTTGTGATCTTTCAAATGAAGATAATAATACTTGTTCCACCTCTCTGGCAGGGCTGTTTTGAGGATTAAATGAGCTAAATGCGAAAGTGCTTTGGAAAGATTAAGGTGATTCAAAGGTAGGGCCAGGCAAGGCAGAATAGAGCAAATTACGGAAAAGAAGCTGTGTGATGCGGTCTGTGGATATAAGGGTTTGGGGGAGGGGGTAAGCCTGAAAGGGAGAATGCCTGTCACCTGCGGGGTCCGGTGCAGCTCATACAGACTCAGTTCCCACGTTTTGCTGGCATTCTGGGCATTCGCCGGCGTCGTCATGGTGACCGGGCGCAGACCCCCCACCAGGGCTCCACAGCCGAGGAGAAGGCGAAGAAGGCTGGGGGTGGGGGGAAGGGGAGGAGGGCGTCAGGGGGGCCGCCCCTCGCGTAGACCCCGCCCCTCCAGAAGCGCCCCTCTCCGCCCCCGCTCCCGCCCCCGCGCCGGCACTGCCCCTCACCCAGCTCCAGCCGTTCGCGCTCCCGCCGCCGCCGCGCCTCTCCCTAGGCCCGGGCTCCTGGGCCAAGTTCGCTCGGTCCGCAACCGCTGCTCAGACAGCAGCTCCCGCCACCGCCGCCGCCATGGCCCGGGCGCTGGGGCCCTACGTCACTTCCGCCTGCTCCTCCGCTACACCCGCTCCCCCCGCCGGCGGAGACGTCACCCACCATTCGCGGCGCGGGTGGGACGGGACGTGGACGCCGCGGTTCTCCCGCCCACGGGACGGGCTCGTCCCGCGTGAGGATCCTGCGTCCCGGGAGTTCTGCGCCACTTAGGGAACCACGGTCTCCGCCCCCGGCCCAGCACCGTCGCGCGGCCAACAACCTTAGCCTCGGTTCCCTTCCAGAGGCCCCCACGCGGGGCCTCAGCTCCGGGGGGCCGGGGCCTGGAATATCTGGGACCCCAGGAGGGGACAGAGGGCTCGTGAAAAGGGCTACCTCCCCCACTCTGCGTACCCTGGCGACTCTGGGGATCAACCCCCCTCACTTCTCCGTAACCCCCATTCCAGGATCCCGGGGGAAAAGGCTGCAAAAGATCTGCCGCTTTAGCCTTCTAGTCCTGAGAACACACCTAGGTCCCGATGTGCCCGGGATTCCCCTTACCACCCTGGGGACTCCCTCCACCCTCTGCTTTGGCTCTCCCTAGACCCTCCGACCCGCTCTCCCGCTCGAGGTTTGGGGGCGGCGGCTCGGGACGTCCAGACTCAACTCTCGGCCGGAGCCATAGACTCGAGAATTGCGTTTGGACAATCAGGAGCCGCGGCCCGGGGCGGGGAAGGGAGGGAGGCGCACGGGAGGAAAGGGGGAATGGAGACACCACGCGGAAACAGGGACATACACAAGATGGAGCTCCCATTGGGAAGGGGGGGTGCGCGTGTGGGTGGGGTACACAGGGGCAGAATGTCTGGAGTGGGAAGTGGGCAGAAGCCTCTTCGAGGACTCTAGAGTAAACGAAGGGGATGGGGAGGAAAGAGAAGAGGAAGGGGCAGAGCGATCCCCATTGAGTGTAGGGAATGAGAGGGATACAGGGCGAGGGGGTGGGGGGCAGTTAGAGACCCTGATGGGCATCTTGTCCCCGCCCGAGCTGAGGCTCCCGGACTTGGGCTGCGGCTGCCAGGGGGTGGCCTGTCCCTGGGACAAGGCAGCAGTGGGTGCCCTCGCCCCCCACCCCAGTTCCCCCCTACTTCCCTGTCCTCTCCTTCAGTCCGTGGCCAGTCCTTATGTGGGCGCCAGAGTCGATTAGCGCAGACCCCCCTCCCCTTCCTCCTCCTCTTCCCAGCCCCCTCCCTCCTGCTCTCTCCAGCCCCTTTCATCGGCTGGTTCATTCCCCTAATCCTGGCCCCCTCCCCTAATCCCCCCCATCCGACCCCAGGCCGGCTGCAGCTATTGTAAGGTGGAGAGAAAGGGGAGGGGGGGACTCAGAGAAAGGAGAGGGGTGGGGGAGGGCCACCTGTTCCAAGACCCCCTTTCAAGGCCAGACTGGACACCAAGATGGGGCCATGAACAAATCACCCTTGGGGACCATAAGAACCCAGGGAGTTGGGGGGAGGGGACTGGTGCTGCAGAACCAGTGGAAAGGGGTGACGCACGAACCCCTCCCTTCAAAAAGACCCGGAGTGTCACGCATACACAGTGACACATACTCTTTCCTCTCACACCCGGCGGCGGGGGTTGCCCTGGGAGACCAGGCAGAGAAAGGGAACAATCCTTCGGGAAAGGGAAAGGAGGGGGAGGTGGGGAAGGGTCTGAGGGCTTGGACACAAGAAGAGCCGGAGGTGGCAGGGAAGAGGACTTGGAATTTATTAGGGTCACAAGCACCCCTGCTTCCCATATTCAGCATTCCTGAACCATACACTGCCACCCCTTTTGTATCCTGGGAACTTAGAGTCCTCATCAGCAGGAGGCCAGGCAGAGTGGTGGGGGGGTGAGCAGAGTCCAGGGTCCTTGAGGCAGTTACATGAAAAGACCTCCTGGGAGGGGCAGAAACATTTGGACAGATGCATGGGTGGAGACACAAATGGGCTAGGGGGTACCCACTTCTGTCCCTGGCCTTGGGAACCTCTGCCCTTCCCAGTGGCTCCAGACTCCCCTTACTTGCTTTCTCATATAGTCTGGGTTCTACTTCTCTGCCCTCTCCCTCCCCATGCTGGCCTCATACCAGTGACTTCCACTGAGGTCCCTGTGATGTATCCACTATCTTCAGATGCCAAGAATGCGACCACATCTGCCACATCTATGAGAATGGTGGGGAGAGGGCAGAATTCTGCTCACTCCCATAGACCCAAAACAGCCATAATCTCCCACCAAAGACATCCCTCCCCACAAACCTCTCCACAGACACCAACCACCAGTCCCCTAGAAAATCCCCAAACTTTGGGGATCTCTTCATTCAGGCCCCCTTCCCAGGGACCCCACTACATTCAGTGCTCACCCTCAGGGTCCCCCAAGTGTCCCATCGGGATCATTTCAGTAATCTGTAAGGAAATACTCATGTGGGTGAAAGCTTCTTTTATGGATTTTTTTGAAGACTGAGTCTGTGACCCTTTTTTGTCTTCATTTCTCATACATTCATTGAATATTTAATGTTTGCCAGGAACTGTGCCCAGTATTCTCTCTCTCTCTCTCTCTCTCTCTCTGTGAAGCCCAGAGAGATTGAGTCTCTGAATGATTCTGCCCTCCACCCACAGCCTCCTACCTTGTCCACCACTTTCTGTGGCACTTTCTGTGTCATGGGTGTTGCAATGAACCCTGGGAGGACAGAGTTACAGCGGATCCCATGTCTGTGGGAAGGAGAGTGGCTGCCGATTCTGGAGAGGGCTGAATGCTGGTACCTCCCTCAGACCCCCCAGGTGCTCCCCAGCACCCTCAAGCATCTGACCAACCGTCCAAGCTCCCGGGCTGCGGTCTGGGTCAGCCCAATCACTCCAGCCTTGGATGCTGCATAGTTTGTCTGCCCCACGTTCCCCACCTATAGGTGAGTCAGAGATGTGGAATGAGTCAGGAGTCTCAAGGAGGGGTTCTCCTCTCTATACCACTTGGCTGGCTGACCTCGTCCAACTCAACCTGACCTTTCCTACGATGCTACTGATGTTGATGATGGAACCACGACAACCATTGGACACCAGGGCTTGTGCTGCAGCCTGAGTGACTAGGAAGGTGCCCTGGCGGGAAAGGGTAACAAGGGAGAAAAGATCAGCTGGGGTGACAGCCCTCCTCCAACTCCCTCCCCAGGCTAAGGGGGCCAAACGTCGCAGGTTCAGAGATCGCCACCTTGAGGTTGACAGCTATGACTTTGTCCCAGTCATCCTCAGACATGTGCAGCAGAAACTCATCCTGGGTGATGCCCGCACAGGACACAACGACAGATGGTGGGCGAGAAAAGCAGGCCTATGGGAGGGGGAGGTTACGCATCAAAAACCCCCCACAAAAAGCCGGGGCAGTGGAGGCAATATCAGAGCTTTAGAGGGGGAAAGTGGCCTAGCGTTCACCTGCACTTGTTCCAGCAGGCACCTGGCGGCCCTGGCCTCAGACACGTCAGCCTGGAAGGCAGCATGGTTCCCTCGGGGCGGCCCCTCCTTGCTCCCTGGCCCGCCCAGCAGCCGCACCGTCTCCTGTGCCGCTGCCCGGTCCAGGTCGCAGGCAGCTACGGTGGCCCCCTCTCCGGCCAGGCGTACACTGACCGCTCGGCCGATGCCGCTCCCCGCACCTGAGGTAGGACAGAACACGCCGGACCGGGCACGGGGAGGAGAGGGCAGGGATCAGAGGTCACAGGGCAGAAAGTAAAATGTGGGTAAGGGGCCAGAGGTCACAGCGGCCGCGCACTCCAAGGGCACGCCCCTGACCTCACTCCAATACCCCAAACCGCCCGGGGAAAGAACCCCCTCAACCTGTGACCAAGGCCAGTGCGGAGCGGAGTCGGTTCTGGAGCTGAGACGCCATGGCGGGCTGTGGGTGGGTGGGAATCCCAGCACTAAGCCAATCCCAGCGCAGAGGGGCGTGGCAAGGGCAAAGCCGGGGCCAATCAAAGGCCCGCCAGCCTTAGGCCATCTGCGGCCACCAGCGCAGGCCGACCTCCCACCGAGGGGGCGTGGCCCGACACTGCTGCTTAGGGGCCCCGGGTGTGGAGAAGACAAGGGGCCCCATTCCCCCCAAAAAGACAAAGACTGCATGTGGGGCGGAAGATCGGAGGTCTTTATTTCCGGTTACCACCCCTCCCCCTCGATTCAAACACAGTGATATAAAAGGAATAGAAACAAAAAAAATCAGGCCATGAGAATACCAACTAACCCTCTCCCACCCCATCCCCCCAATCACTCCCAAATCAGGACACACGATTGATGTTTGATGTTTATCCCCGACTCCTCCTGTTACCCTCTCTGTCCAGGACTCTGGTCTTCCCTGAAGCCTCCACCAACTGGTGGGAGAAAGGAAACTGGACCTTGGAGAACTTCCTGTGTAGCAACTTGGTTCTCCGAGAACAGGTGGGGTAGGGGACACCAGGTAGGCTGCCATCACCCCCTGTCCCTTCCAGCCTTCTTCATGGCCCCATTTAGCCTTCCAAATGCAACATGGTCAGACAGTGCCCAACACTATGGTCCCTCTGGCCTCTCATTCTCACCGCTCCAGCCTCTGTAAGACTGCCAGCCCTTGAAGGCCCTAATGCCAAAGTAACCATTCTCCCAGGCTACAGTTCCTTCCTTTGGCAGATGTCCCTGGCCAGGGCCCCCAACCTCTACGCACCCCTGACCTGGAGTTAGGGGTAGAGGTTTGGGGCAGGGGTAGTTTATCCACCCCTCACTCAAGGTGGGCAATCAGCACCATCATGATAACTCCCCCCAGCAGCCCCAGCACCTCCAGAAGTGATTGCAATGGTGATGCCTCCCTCAGCAGCTCGGGCAACACAGACACTGTTGCTACGTAGATAAAGCCACCTGCAGTAAATGGCAGGACCCAGCCAGGACCTGCACCACCTGCAATTTCACTGCCCACTGCTCCTCCTTCAGTGAGAAGGGCACAGGCTGTGCCTGCCAGTGCCCCTACTGCTGTCAGTAGTTGCAGACGCATCGCCTGATGGGCAGAAAAGAGAAAAAGGCACTCACCAATAGCTAAAGATTATCAGTGGTTTAGAAGTGGCTGGTGGGGTATAGGTATAGGGGACATGGATTTGGAAACTAAACATCAAAATAAAAAGAGAAGAGGGAGCAGTCTAGAATAGACAATTTCTGAAAAATCTTAAGAGATCAGAGGTCCTTTCCACAGACTTTCTGATTGAGTAGGCGTGTGTGTGTAAGACTCCACTAAACCATTCAGATGGTTTATAGACCAGTTTAAGAAATACTGAGCTAAAGGACAAAGTAACCAGAACTTCTTCCCCCTCATTTCTAGAGGACTTGTCAATGACAGTATGAATTGTTTGGAACTAATAAGAGGCTGTTTGGGTTTAGGGTGAGTGAGGAGAGATAAAGGGTTTGAGGCAGCTGTGTTTGGCAGACATCACCAACCTGCTTTTTGCTGCAGCCAGACTGGACCAAGATGGCAAAGTCTCCGACCTCGTGGGGCACTTCATGTAGCAGGACAGTCATTGTGGTCAGGATCCCTAGTCCCCGGCCCCCTCGAAAGGAAGCCCCAATGGCCAGACCATCAGTGAAGTTGTGTGCCAAGTCAGCAGCCAGATTCAGGTACCCCGACACACGCAGGTCTTGTACAGGACAAGAAGAGAAAATGATCAGAGGCTTCCATCACCACTTGTTCCAGTCTTGGTCAGCTATTCTCACACCTCCCCTCAGAGACCACTTTACACCCAGTCCTTTAGTGTTTCTCAGATACCTGCCATTACCCACAGCACATATTCCATGTGATTTGTGATGATGTCCCTTGCCCAAATTTATCACCAACTCTGGCCCTTACCTAAGCCTCTTTTTTCTTCTTCAGCGTTCTGAGGTCTCACTGGCCCATCTTTGGGTACTGTGCTCCCTCCTCGCCTCTTCTGAACCCCTCTTGTTTCCTTTTCTTCTTCCTCTGAGCTCTGCTTCTCCTTGGTAGAACGCTCTGAGGGAAGAAAAGAGTTGGTCAGAGTGGAGAACAGATCTTCCAACATGTCCTCTCCCTCCTGAGGGCCATAAGATGAGGAGATTCTGAGGCAGGCAAGTCAGCTTTCAGGAAAGTTGTTCCTGGGCTCACCTTGTCTTCCATGTCCATGACTTCCACGTGTATGACTGTGAGCGTGTCCATGTCCATGACTGTGACCATGTCCTCCTTTCACATGTCTCACAAATTTCTCCACGACAAGAAAGGCAACAATTCCACTGAGAACCCACAGTCCCACAGACAGAATGGGGCCCTGGCCTGGGAATGGAGGCATTGAGACATTAAGGGAGATGTGCATTCCAGACTCCTCCTCCTCAAGTGCGGGAGGTGAGGAATAGGGAGAGACGGACCTTCCCCAGCACCCCAACTCCCATCCCCATCTGTCTCTTCCTCACCACTGTGGGAGTGTCCATGTCCGGGTTGCTCCAGAGTGTGGTGAGAATGAGGTTCTGGAAGAAGGGGGGAAAACCAGATGAGGGAATATCTGACACAATGAGTGTGTATTTGGGGGAATATCGAAAGGTCAGGGATCATAAAGGAGAAAGAACCCTTTTCCTCCAAAGAACGAAATAGGTTAGATTTGAGGTAGAAGTCAGAGGTTACTTACCAAGAGCATGAGGAATGAGGTGCAGGAAAGCATCTCCCAGGAGCCCACCGGAAGCAAAACTGAGCAAGATCTGAAGTAGAGAGCGATGCCGGGGAGAGTTCGACTCCACGGGGATAAGGAAGAGGACAAAAAATGGAGCTGCTGAGATCAGCACTGTGGCCCCCAGTGCCTGGTGAGGGAGAGTCAAGGTCAAGTACTGTGGAGTTTCCCAACAATCCAGAACCAGCCCTTCTCTCTCCCATCCCCTGGAGACTCACATAAGCCCAGAGAGTGACAGCATCCAGGTCCTGCTTGATGCCTGGAGCCCCAGACTCCCCATAGCCTCCATGGCTATGCTCATGGTCATGTCCATGTCCTCTGTGGTAGAGGCTCTCATGGGAGTAGCCATGGCTATGGCCATGGTGTAAATCCTCATGTGAATGTCCATGGTCGTGATCGTGGGTATGTCCATGCCAGATGCTCTCGTGAGTGTGGCCATGGCCATGGGCATGGCTGTGGCCATGGTGGAAATCTTCATGTGAGTGCCTGTGGCTGTGGCCATGGAAGTCCTCTTGCAGATCGTCGTGCAGGTCGTCATGACCCCCGAGTCCAGCCACCAGAAGCCCCAAGGTCGCCCAGGTCAGCAGTCCCACGGCCACCCAGTGGGGGGCCCCCAGGCCTCTGGCCATCACGCTGACCAGAGGGACAGAGGCAGTGACTCCACTTGACTCAACTCTATACCTACACAGGGTCCGCTTTACTCCAATCGCGCCCTCCGTCCACCTCTATGGGCCGCTCTCCCATTCCCTTAAGTTCCCACCTACATTGTTCCCAAGACTAGTTCTCTTTATCCCGAACCACCTCCCGGATGTAGGGCCCTGGGACACTAATCTTTCACCAGCCACTTTACAGACTCTCTGGGCCCTCGTCTCTACGACTCATTAGGTGAGGAAAAGGCCTGGAAAGGATGGTAGAGAAAAAACAGAGAATTCTCACCGGCTCCGGGATCCTCTCCTTTCCCGGTTTGCTTGGACGTGGCAGTCCCGCCTTTAGATCCCGCGAGAACAGGAAGTTCCGTTCCACCTTCGCCCTAATGCCTTTACCAATATGGCGGCACTCCGGTAGCGACGAATCCATCCTGCACTGACACGCATGCGCGAGTGTGGAGGTGATTTGAGGGGAGGGTGGGCGAGGCGGGCTAACAGGCCGGAGGAGACCGCCTCCTCGGTTTCCAACTAGACGAGGGGGCGGGAACTCGCGCCGAGACTTCCCGTCTGTACAAAGATGGCTGCCACATTGGCGCTGTCATTTTGGTACTGAGCAGAGCGACGGGCTTAATTCGACCCAATCCAGGCCAGAGTCTTTCTCTCAGGGGCTTCCTCGTGCTCAGCTAATCCTCCGATCAATCCTTGGGAATCCCTGGGACCTCTTCGGTATCCCTACTCTCAGCCAGGGATCATGTCTTGGGCCGCTCGCCCGCCCTTCCTCCCTCAGCGGCATGCCGCAGGGCAGTGTGGGCCGGTGGGGGTGCGAAAAGAAATGCATTGTGGGGTCGCGTCCCGGTGGCGGCGGCGACGGCCCTGGCTGGATCCCGCAGCGGCGGCGGCGGCGGCGGTGGCAGGCGGAGAACAACAAACCCCGGAGCCGGAGCCAGGGGAGGCTGGACGGGACGGGATGGGCGACAGCGGGCGGGGTGAGTGCCCCAGCAGAAGGGCAGGCGAGCCAGTGACCGCTTTATCTGCGACCCCTCCCCCACACCCTCCCCCGGTGCTCTTTTCCTTGCGCTCCCGCCCCCTTGTTTGTAAACACGCGTCCCCTCCCTCCCGAGGGCCTTAGCACCCTCCCCCCCGGGGCGGGGCGGGGAAGGGGAGCTTCCGCCCTCCTAGCTGTGACCGCTTGAGGCCTTGGGCACCGGAGGTCGCGGGCCTGGGAAGGGCACGATTCCTCTTAAACCTCAGGACTTTGGGCGTTTACAGGCAGATCCTGCGTCTTAGGAGGGGTCTCTCCTGCCTGTCTCTTTCCCTTGCACGCTCTGGCTACCTGGCTTTACGCTGGGAATAGAGGGGCTCGATGGTCTACCCCACGTGCTGCCCCACCCACGAGACAGGTGTGGCTTTGGGATGACCTGGTATTCATTCAAATGGATTGGTTGGAAAATTTTCCTCACCTGAACTATCCTCCTCTCCTTGTCAACTCCCTCCTCTCACCACAATGAGGAGTTACGCTGTTTTTGGGTTTTTTTAGCCAGTCAAATATAGCAGTGGGAGGTTGTATACCAATTTTAGTGACACAAATGTTAATAAGTTCTGATAACCCACTACCATCGGACCAGCCGGAGTTACACTGTTGTTTGACAGCAGGGTGTCTCTGAACTTGGGGATGGGTGGAGTGGGCTGGGTCCGGCACGGTGGGGTATTAGAGAATTAAAGTCTCTAGTTGGATGTTTGAAGACTCATTTTCTTTTTTTGTCTCTTCTGTCTCTTGTGTGTCTGTGTGCCTGTACATACCCCTCCCTCAGACTCCCGAAGCCCAGACAGCTCCTCCCCAAATCCCCTTCCCCAGGGAGTCCCTCCCCCTTCTCCTCCTGGGCCACCCCTACCCCCTTCAACAGCTCCATCCCTTGGAGGCTCTGGGGCCCCACCCCCACCCCCGATGCCACCACCCCCACTGGGCTCTCCCTTTCCAGTCATCAGTTCTTCCATGGGGTCCCCTGGTCTGCCCCCTCCAGCTCCCCCAGGATTCTCCGGGCCTGTCAGCAGCCCCCAGGTGAGAGGTTGTGACCAACTTACTGCCTGGCCACTTTCATTTTCTTGTTTTCCTTGTAACCCCAGATCCTTGTGTGAACTTCCCCATGGCCCATTGACCTTCCAATCCTCTAACCTTGTCAGGCCTGTGGTCTTTATGAGACCCCTTGCCTTTCCTGAGGTGACTGATCTTTCAGTGCATGCTTCCTCCCCTAAAAGAACTCTAATATTCTTTGTTTTTGTGTGTGTGTGTGTGTTTTTTTTTTTTTTTTTTTTTGAGATGGAGTCTTGCTCTGTTGCCCAGGCTGGAGTGCAGTGGCACAATCTCAGCTCACTGCAACCTCTGCCTCCTGGGTTCAAGCAATTCTCCTGCCTCAGCCTCCTGAGTAGCTGGGATTACAGGTGCCTACCACCACGCCCGGCTAATTCTGATATTCTTGATGTCCTTTTCATCTATCTGATTTTCTGCCCTTTTGATCCCATCTGCTTTCCCAAGACACCTGCCCTTCAGGGTCACTGTGTTGCACAATTTCAGGGGGGGCCTGTTTATTCACTTTGGGGTTGTGCTCCAGGGATGGCCTTTCACATAGACTGCAGTGTAAATGACAGCCTCTGGAATGTGCATTGCAGGGCCTTGCTTAGTGGTAGGGAATGATTTCCATCACTTCTGTGACATTCTGCTTCCCAATAAGTCTTCCTGTGACTTCCCTATTTCCCCCATCCCAGATTAACTCAACAGTGTCACTCCCTGGGGGTGGGTCTGGCCCCCCTGAAGATGTGAAGCCACCAGTCTTAGGGGTCCGGGGCCTGCACTGTCCACCCCCTCCAGGTGGCCCTGGGGCTGGCAAACGGCTATGTGCAATCTGCGGGGACAGAAGCTCAGGTATGTGGCTCAGAGGATGAACAGAGAGGGAGAGTCTGGGCCATGTATCATCACCTGTGGGATTCCCAGGGCTTATGGAGTTTGGTCAGAGCAAGTGACCTGGGGGAGGCCTGATGGGAGTAAAGAAGCTGAAGCTGAGATGTAGGACGCGATTGGGGGGAAGGTCAGAGGGAAAAGGAAGCAGCGTGTAGGGTTTCTGAACAGTGAGGAGACTGGGACTGGATCATCACTCAGCTCCTGGTTCCCTATCTCTGTATTTGGCAAACAGGGAGGACTTTAAGTTTTGCTAGGGGGAGATTGGAAACAGACTAAATGGTGAAGGTGTCTCCATGCAACCTTCTTATTGCTCCTCCCCTTTCCCTGTAGGCAAACACTACGGGGTTTACAGCTGTGAGGGTTGCAAGGGCTTCTTCAAACGCACCATCCGCAAAGACCTTACATACTCTTGCCGGGACAACAAAGACTGCACAGTGGACAAGCGCCAGCGGAACCGCTGTCAGTACTGCCGCTATCAGAAGTGCCTGGCCACTGGCATGAAGAGGGAGGGTAAGGACCCGCCCTGCCCAGGCGTCTTAGACCACATGCCCTTCTCCCTTATCCCACTCAGACTGTGTACCTCTCTGGAAGGGTGGACTGCTCTCTCTCCTCTAGAGGGCGATATTTGATTTCTCTCTCCCTTCGCAGCTCTCCTCCCTGTTACCCTGTTCTGGCCCTTGAGTTTCCTTCTTAATGGTTAGGCCTCTGTGGCCTGCACATATGACCCCTCCCTAGACTGATCCTAGGATAGGATAACTTTTCCTTAGCCATGATGGGCTGTCTCCCCATTTCTAACCTGAGTGGTTCCTCCTCTGATTCCATGGACCTTCTCTGGTCTCTGTCTCCTGTTATCTGTGATCTTTCCTCTAACTCCTGGGACTGGGCACTCTTAAGCTTACAGACTTTACTGAAGACCTCAGGGCTTCCCTTCCTTCTTCTGTGTCTCCATCTTATCTTCTTAAGTCAGATTCCTAGGATTCTGAGAGACACTTTAGAGCATATCTTGGTCAAAACACCCACTTTAGAGAAGATGAGCCTGAGGCTTGGCTTTCCCAAGGTCATGCAACAAAGGAGTGGCAGGCAGGTTTGGGATCAGAACCCACATCTTCAAAGACCTAGGCCAGTGCTCCTTTCACTGCCTATTTGTTGAGTCAGAAGAGCACAAGATTTGCACTCAGACACACTTAGAGTCAGTTGTATGACCTGCCATGTATTATATGAATTTAAGCAAACTAATCTCTTTGAACCCCGAGTTCTTCATCTTAAAAATGAGAATAAATGCTTCCAGCATCATTATGATAATTGAGTGAATGGTAAAATGTGCTTAGCATGTTTCTTGGCATATTTTATTTAAAAAAATTTTTTTTTTCAATCAGCTTTCTCAGGTTGAATCTTGGCATGTTTTTTTTAACCATGTAGTAGGCTCTCCATTTAAATTCCTCCCTAATTCTTTTACCTACCTCACCCTTCCCGACTGACTTACCTGCCCTTTTATAACCCTTCCTTCAGGGCTGCCCCCAGTCCACCCTTTCTAGTGACTTCCCCAATTCCTATAAATATCTCCCAAGGGCCATGAGATCCTGATGAGGCCGTAAGGATATTTGTGGAACCCCTTCATGGCTGGCTGCTGACTTTCCATTTTTTCTCTCCCCCTTCCCCCTGCAGCGGTACAGGAGGAGCGTCAGCGGGGAAAGGACAAGGATGGGGATGGGGAGGGGGCTGGGGGAGCCCCCGAGGAGATGCCTGTGGACAGGATCCTGGAGGCAGAGCTTGCTGTGGAACAGAAGAGTGACCAGGGCGTTGAGGGTCCTGGGGGAACCGGGGGTAGCGGCAGCAGCGTGAGTGTTGGGGTCAATCCACTCTCCTTCGTGATGGGGGTTGGGGGAGGCAGTCTAGGTCTGTTCTACATCCCCTCCCCCTCCTTTCCCCTCATAACCTTCCTAACACTACTTGGGACTGGAGGTGCTGCCAAACAAGGTCTTTCAAACATCTGAGGTGGATGTGATAGCTCCTTCTGTCTCCACTCCCCAAACAACCCACTGGCAGAACCATAGGCATGTCCCAAATAAATAATTGTTTGCACTAATGCCAGAAGAGAAGACTCACTTACAGGGATTGGTTTGGATGGGGCTCACAGGAAGACTATATGTAAGGAGGGGGTGTCAAAAGCCTCTTACAAGGGGGCTCCCAGCATATCTCAAAATCTTCCATAACTCTTACCCCCGTCCCCTGCAGCCAAATGACCCTGTGACTAACATCTGTCAGGCAGCTGACAAACAGCTATTCACGCTTGTTGAGTGGGCGAAGAGGATCCCACACTTTTCCTCCTTGCCTCTGGATGATCAGGTCATATTGCTGCGGGCAGGTCAGTGACCTTGGATCCCTTTGACTTCTTGACATTTGACCCCTCTTTGACTTCCCGATCTTTAGTGACCCCAGTGGCCTTACCTTGCGTACCCAGGGAGCCAAACTTGCTGACCTCGCCACCTCTTTTCTCCTTCTCTTCCACTGATGTGCTTTGAATCCCTTGGCCTGATTTCTGGCTCCTGACCCTTGCTGCCCCACCCAGGCTGGAATGAACTCCTCATTGCCTCCTTCTCACACCGATCCATTGATGTTCGAGATGGCATCCTCCTTGCCACAGGTCTTCACGTGCACCGCAACTCAGCCCATTCAGCAGGAGTAGGAGCCATCTTTGATCGGTCAGTGGCCCTCGGCTAGGCTGGCATGTAGATAGAGGGGGTGGGGCTATAGGCTGGTCCGTGTCCAAGGCTGGCTGAGCTGTGACCTTTGAGTGACCTGCAGGTCCCTCTCCAGGGTGCTGACAGAGCTAGTGTCCAAAATGCGTGACATGAGGATGGACAAGACAGAGCTTGGCTGCCTGAGGGCAATCATTCTGTTTAATCCAGGTAAGAGGAGGATTACCTTTGTCTCTCAAGGCCAAGGCAACCTTGGAGCCTCCTCTTCTCCGAGACTCCTAAGTTACCCAGCTATCCCCCTCAGTAAGACCCTCAACCTGGAAATCTCCCAACTGGCCGAGGAAAAACCCACATCCACGGATCCATCCCACAAACCCAGTGGGCCCTGCTTCCCTTGCCAGGCCTCTGGTAAAGGGCAAGCAAGTGCAGCCCAAAAGGGGCATCCTGTGGCTCACATCTGCATGGCCATCCTGATTTGGTTTGTCTTCATTTCTCTTCCTCCTCTCTTCCCTGCCATCCCAGATGCCAAGGGCCTCTCCAACCCTAGTGAGGTGGAGGTCCTGCGGGAGAAAGTGTATGCATCACTGGAGACCTACTGCAAACAGAAGTACCCTGAGCAGCAGGGACGGTGAGATGGGGCTGGGGGGCACTGAGGCTCCCTTGGGGGTGGGGAGTGCTATGAGGATGTGTTCAGGGCCCGTGTGCTTCCAGCTCTCAATCCCCTTCTCCCACCTCCACCCCAGGTTTGCCAAGCTGCTGCTACGTCTTCCTGCCCTCCGGTCCATTGGCCTTAAGTGTCTAGAGCATCTGTTTTTCTTCAAGCTCATTGGTGACACCCCCATCGACACCTTCCTCATGGAGATGCTTGAGGCTCCCCATCAACTGGCCTGAGCTCAGACCCAGACGTGGTGCTTCTCACACTGGAGGAGCACACATCCAAGAGGGACTCCAAGCCCTGGGGCAGGGTGGGGGGCCATGTTCCCAGAACCTTGATGGGGTGAGAAGTACAGGGCAGAACCAAGAACATAAACCCTCCAAGGGATCTGCTTGATATCCCAAGTTGGAAGGGACCCCAGATACCTGTGAGGACTGGTTGTCTCTCTTCGGTGGCCTTGAGTCTCTGAATTTGTCGGGTTCTCCCATGATTTGGGGTGATTTCTCACCCTCTGTCCTTCCCCCAGCACAAAGCACTGGCCTTGCCTCCAGGACCTTGCTTCCTTCTCATCTTGCCTCATTTTGCTTCCCATCTGAAGAGTGGAAATGGGGAACTCCCCCAGAGGTGGATACTGGGGGGCAGGCCTCCCAAGCTGATGGACATGAGAGTAGGGCCCTGACAGGCCTTCCTCCTCTCAAACCTGGCAGATGGGGGCCTCTCTGGAAGAGGGAGGGGCCCTGTCACTGTCCAGAGTCTCTTTTTACACTTCACCTCCTTCTGCAGTCAGACTGAAATATAAAAAAGGTGGTGGTGGTGGTGAAGGGGCTGGTGGAGATGTAGGAACCGATCTGCTATTTTTAATTTCCTGTGAGGATAGAGACTTGCAGTTAGACTCAAAGAAGTACTGTACTTTCCCAGGTTGACTAAGAAATGCCAGTGGTGGAGGTGGGTGTTTGGGAAAGGCAGGGCCCTGAAATGGCCTGTCCCTAGGGCTCTCCAAGCACTAGCCTTCCCAGCTTCCCGCCGCCCCCCCTATCTCTTCCTGTCTAACTTGGGGAAGGGGCCTGGGCTGTGAGGACAGGGCCCCCACAGGGGATGGTTTCACGAGTGTAGTCCCGGAGGCCTTCCCTTTACAGCTCTCCTCCAGCCCTGGGCACATAGCATAGGCTGGGGACACAGGATCCTGGCCTGAGAATTGAGGGGAGGTGGCCAGCCCGCAGAGGTGGGGTGCTGGGGCTGCATGATTTTTGCCCTGCGTCCCTTCTCTTTGGGGCTCCTTTCCCCTCTCATACATAAAATCGCTTTCAAATTAAAATCGCTGTTTTCTGGACTGAGGTGACTGTATGAGGATGGGCAGCGCCGTTTCGGGCTTGGGGGGGGTATCCGGTTGGGAGCTCCGGACGCGATCCCTGGACGCCGCCGCCGAGGTTCCGTGGGGCCCAAGAGGTGCACGCAGGGTGGGGGACACAAGGCAAGCTTTGTCGGGGAGGGGGGGAGAGGGTGTGCCAGGCTGGGGGCGGGGCCGGCCGGAGGAGGAAGGGGGGGCGGTGGATTCTCAAAGGCGCCTTGTTCGCTCGTGCCCTCTCCGCGCCAGCGGGCGGCGGCGCCTCGGCTCGCTGCGGCCTTCCCTCCGGGCGCGCTGCGGGCTCCGGGCAGACCCGGCGCCGTGCCCGCTCGTGGGGGCGCACTGGGCGCCGAGCGCTGCGTGCTTCTCAGGCGTTGCCCGCCCGGAGGCGGCCCACGTCCCCGAGTGACCCCATTTCCCTGGACCCTTCCAACCAGAGTCGACTGCTCGCTCATCTTACCACTGCTCCCCCTCTACCTCGGCTCTGGGACTCCCTAACCGCGTCCCCCATTTGCATCTCCTTGGACCTGACTATCCTGTGTTTGTCGGTGGGTCCCAGTCTCTGGCCTCTTGCTCTCCGTAGAACACCTTCCCCCACATCCCCCGCCCCAGTTCGTCGCTATCTATAGCCTTGTCTATAAATACCCCCGCCCCGGCCCGGCTCTGTAATTACACGGGGCGGGGTGAGGGAAGTAATTATGGAGACCTGATTATGGGTGGGGTGGGGACTGCGACCCCCAGGCCCGCCTCTCCCCCTCCCACTGTGCCCTAAATCCCGCCCAGGCCTCTGCTGAAAGGGGGCTCTGGGCCCCCAAGAGGGAGGGAATGGGAGGGAGTGTGTGTGACTGGACGTTTGGGTCCTAGAAAAGGAAGGGGCTAGGGAAGATATTGGGGTTCCCGAAAAGAGAATCTTAGGGTACAGGCCGTTGAGACCTACAAGGGGCAGGAGAGAGCGAGCGATAGAGGGAGGGTTCCCGCCTCCCTCCCCAGGTGGAGACTGAGGGTGGGGTTTCCCTTCGGTGGCTGTGGGCGGGCGGCTGGAGGCGGGGGCCGGGCCGGGGGCGGGGGCGAGGTGGGGGCTCTGGGCGCCAGGGTGGCCGGGGACACACAGAAGCGGCAGCCACCGAGGAGGGAGCAGTGCCGGGAGCCCCGACGGCGCCTTGCTGCATGGAGCTGGGCCGCTGACAGCTGTCGCTGCCCGCAGCCTCTGACCTCCCTGGGACCCCGGCGTCTGAGGCTCATAGTCTGCTCCCTGTCTTCTGTCAGCCTCAGGGCATCCAGCGTCTCAGGCCGACCTGGGTCCCTGGGACCCGGCGTTTCGGCTTCTCAGCCATGGAGCGGTGCAGCCGCTGCCATCGCCTCCTCCTCCTCCTACCTCTGGTGCTGGGGCTGAGCGCGGCCCCAGGCTGGGCAGGTAAGAGGAGTCCTGATGCCTGGGTCCTCGGAGTCAGGCTGGAGCTCTGAGTGTCTCTGGGAAGGGGCCAGCTGATGCCTGGGGCAGCAGCTTCTGAGTCTAACAAGGAGATTTGGGGCTTCAAGGCTACAGGCTGGAGGGCAGGACACCTGTGTTCCTTGGCATCAGGGTAGGAATCTCTTTGTCCTTGAAGTGACTGGGGGAGGGCAGATAGGGCTGAAAGGTGGAGGACCACTTTAGAGACCCTGAATGGGGATGGATGCTTGTCTTGAGTCCTTGGGAAGAGCTGAAGATGGCCAGGGCCAGCCCGGTCCAGTCATTGCTGGTGTGGGGATGGTAGACGCCAATGTTGATGGGTGAGGCGTGTGTGTCTTATGGCCTTTCTGTCGATATCTCTGGGATAAGGGGTGAGCACCTGTGATTCAGAGCAGAGCCCAGTAAGCCCAGAAAGAAAGGAAGCCTTGACTACCTGTCTCATTGGCCTCCTGGACAGGGTCCCCCTCCCCCTCCCTGTGCCCTCGATGCTGCCACGCAGCTGGCTCTGGGGAGCACTGGGGCTGGCTGCCAACAGGACGGCCCTCCGGACAGGCCAGGATCAGGTGTCTGAGGCCAGAGCCAACTCTTTGCATTCCTGCCTAGCCCCTCCTCCCTCTGGCCAGCCAGGCTCCCCTGGGACCCTGGTGCCCACAACCCTGATCTTTTCCTTCTTTTTCCCAGGACCCAGAATTCCTGGCTTCTAGGAAAGGGGATTTGATGTCAAGGAGGGGGCTGTGAGCACCAGGTCCTCAGCAGGCTGGAAAAAGCCCATTTCTGGAGACACTGAGGGCTGATTTATATTTAACTTGACTATTCAATTCTTCTCTGCTTTAGAGAGAAAATGGTCAGAATGGCAGCACAAAAGATTTAGATTAGATTACAGAAGGAAGAACTTCCAAGATGTGAGGACAGTGAAGCCCAGGGCCAGGAAATTGAGGCGTATGGTGCCTGTAGACTCTAGGAGTCTTTCTTAGGGGGAAGAGGGATCCTCTGGCATGGAGGCAGGGGGATGGCTAAGATGACTGTTTCTTATTTCAGGGGCTGAGTGGGTAGAGATGGGACTTTAGGGAAATGAGTTACTGTAGAATTCCTAAGGTTAGAGAATAAGGCATTTGGGGGGCCAGAGGTAGAGTGGTGGAGGGTAATGGGGCTACCAGTGGAGAGCCTGTGGGGCAGATGAGGCTGGATACAGGGGGGCAAGTATGTGGCCTGGTGTGGGAAGATGGTGGGCGGACCTGTGGGTAGGTTGTCCATATGATCGAATTGTACTCCCTTGGGATTTGGTGGAGGGTGGGGACCTCCGAGGTCTCCTTGGCCTGGGGTCTCTGTGAGTCTCTGTGTCTCTGTCTCACTCACCCTTCGTCTCTCAAAGCGGCCCTTGTGTGTTGGTGTTTGCGGAGCTGCCACACGCGCAGGGGCCAGGCTTAGGTGGGGGTTGGGGGGGAAGGCCGTGGTTTCCCGGCTCCTGGACTCAAAGGGCCTTTTCTCTGCCTGCCCGCCCCACCTCACCCACCCCACCCAGCTCCACTCTCCTGATTGCTCTGGCCTCTGCCCTGCCCCACACTTCTATGAAAGTTTTGCTGGAACTCTCTTTGGGATTTTTCCAATCTGGAGCTGATGGTGTGAAGAGTATGTGTATAGGGGAGCAAGTGAGGGCAAGGTGATCTTTTGTTTTCCAGGGAGTTTGAGCCCTAGGAAGCTGAGTTCTAGTTAGACAGGGCTGGTGGGCTGGATCTTGAATCTTTGGGTCCCAGGTGGTGGGGTTGGTGGGGGTGGTGAGACAGGATTGAGGTTCCAGGTGTGGGGAGCTTGCCTGGGTTCTGGGCAAGCACTCTGATGGGATCCACAGATGTGTGGCTCAGGGCCCTGGACCTGTTCCGGCTCCTCGTGGCAGCTTCAGCCCCTGCCCCCCATTCCTCCACCCCTCCCCAACTCATCTCCTAAACCAGGAGGCACAGACTCCTGGGAGAGCTTTCTTGTATCTTTTTCCTCAGCATGCTCAGGGTTGTTCCCACCCCATCCCCCAAACCTGGGATCTGTAGCTGCTTGAAGCCCCTCTCATAGAGCTGCTTCTCTGATCTCTTCCTCGTGGCCCCCCTGCACCTCCTGTGTCCAGGATGATCGATTGCCCAGATGTTGTTTGTGCTGGAGACGGGACAGATGCCAGAGACCCAGAGAGTGAGAGATATGGAAAGAGAGTGAGAGCGAGGGAGAGAAAAAGATGGACAGAATGTGAGAGAAATGGAGGAAGACAGAAGAGACAGAGACAGAAAGACCAACATAAAGAGACAGAGAGAGTAAGAGAGTGAGAGAGACAGGAGACAGATGAAGAGTTGAGAGAAGTATTCAGAGAGTACAGAGAGAGACAGATTCATAAGCTAAAAGACAAAGAGAGAGCGTAAGAGAGGCAGATGCTAGGAGAGACAGGGGCAGGAGTGTCATGGGGTTGAATGCCAGCTGATGCTGCCCTGCCTCCAGGTACCTTTGCATTTCCCATCCATTCAGGTACTGTTCAGAAGCAAGTGAGGGTGAGGTGACCTTTCCCTTGCAGGGAGTTTGAGCCCTGGAAAGCTGAGTTCTAGATCCCAAATGTCCCCTATTTATGCCCTCCTGAGGGCATGTCCCTTCTCCTGATAATCATGGACTCTCCCAGGTGCACCCCCTGTGGATGTGCTCCGGGCCCTGAGGTTCCCCTCCCTCCCTGATGGTGTCCGGAGAGCGAAAGGCATCTGTCCAGCTGATGTGGCCTACCGAGTGGCACGACCTGCCCAGCTCAGTGCACCCACTCGCCAGCTTTTCCCAGGTATGGGTGACATGGTGGGGTAGGCCTGGGGGGAGGTAATGGGATGGGGCCTAGGATCAGACACCAGGAGGAAAGGGGTTGTGGCGGCTCCCTTTGCCTCTCACTCTGTGTGTATCTCTCTCGGTTACTAGGAGGATTTCCCAAAGATTTCTCTCTGCTGACTGTTGTCCGGACCCGCCCTGGTCTCCAAGCTCCCCTCCTGACTCTCTACAGTGCCCAGGGTGTCCGACAGCTGGGCCTGGAGCTGGGCCGACCTGTCCGCTTCCTGTATGAAGACCAGACTGGGCGGCCTCAACCTCCCTCTCAGCCAGTCTTCCGAGGCCTCAGCCTAGCAGATGGCAAGTAAGTTTGTTTGCTCCTCTGGTCTGCCTGGCCCACACTTTCAGGAGGAAGTGCCCCCAAACCCCTACACTCTAAACTGTGAAACCCTTGAGACCCTTTGGGCCACACCACACCTACCCACTGCCCAAACTTCAGTCACTTCTAGTCCAGAGTTTGGGCTTTAGAGTGTACAGCCTTCTCTGCATGTTGAACTAGCCTGTACCTTGGGCAAGTTACTTAAAATTTTTGAGCCTCAGTTTCTACATCTGTAAAATAGACATTAAATAGAATTGGCACAAATAAGAAAGTGACGGCATGGTGTCTGGTGCACTGTAAACACTCAATAAATGGTAGCCATTGTTATTACTGCTCTTATCACCATTGGCTTCAACTCTTATCACTGCTCTCCAACCATGTTGACTCCCCTACTTCAGTCAGCCAAGAGTTCACTTGAACCTCTTCCACCATTTCCAGGTGGCACCGTGTGGCTGTGGCTGTGAAGGGCCAGTCTGTCACCCTCATTGTTGACTGCAAGAAGCGAGTCACCCGGCCTCTCCCCCGAAGTGCTCGTCCAGTATTGGACACCCATGGAGTGATCATCTTTGGTGCCCGTATTCTGGATGAAGAAGTCTTTGAGGTAACCAGAGCAATCAGAGGCAGGATTGACTTCTGGTCCCCTATCTTGTGCCCACTACCCTTCTGGCCCCAGCATGTCATCTTCCTATTCCCTAGGCCTTCATTTTTTTTTCTTATGAATTTTCATTTCTATTTTCTATCTTCAGGGCTACTGTTCTCTGCAGGAGAACTAGATGCCTACCTATATGGCAGGACTGTCCACAGCCACTTACTCTGTCCTTCAGTCTTCATCAGTTCCCTCATCCATCCATCCTTTCAACCCCTCTCTCTCCTCACCCACCCATCAATTCACTCACTCCTCAGCCAACCTATGCACACATCCACCACCCACTCCCCCATCTATTTACTCATCTATGCATCACACGCCCACCTAGTCATGCATGAAGGCTTATATCCACCCACCTGTCAATCCTCCCCCTGCTTAACCACTCTCCCCTTCAAACCACCCATCTATGCTTCCACCCATCTATCCTCTTCAACTCCTCCATCCAGCTATTCACTCACCCACCCACCCTCCCCATCTACCCATGCACACAAGGATGCATGCATCCATTCAGCCACCATCTATCCATTATCCTTCCACCAACTCAACCACTCCCTCCTTCAATATACTCACTCACCCATCTCCTGACCCACTTACTTCCCATCCGACCAGTCATTCACCCACATAAGTTCACCCATCTACCTATTCACCCATTTGCTTCCATCTACTCTGTAACCCCTGTTCATCTGCCCACCAGTCCACCCTCCCATACGTACATTTATTCATTCACTATTTATCAATGCTCCCATTCATTAATGCATGTAAGCCCCCAGCCACCCATCCACTCATCTATCCATTCATCCATCCCTCCATTCACCCATCCCTCCATTCACCCTCCAAGCCAGTCAACATTTTCTGAATACCTGCTGGACAAGGAGAACAAAGAAGAGAATATAAAGTCTCTATCACCCCCAAGAGCTCCCAGGTGGGCTCTGGAAATGAGACAACATCCCTAAATTACGGTGCAATGGAGAGTATGCTAAGCACCATGTGTGGGCAAAAGTAAATGCCATTGGAACTCAGGAATGGGTTCTCCCCACTCCATTTCTAGAGGTCCAGAGAATTCTCATCATCACTGCCATTGGAAGGCCAAGGCATCTAAAGCTGAGCCCTGTCTCTGGAAGCCACTGTGGAAGGGCTCATGCATTGCCACAAAGCGCAGAGGGGAGGCAAAGAATTCTGGAAGGCCTGGGATCTGGTCCTGATTCTGCCACTCTGGGTGACCTTGGGGCAGTCATTGCCTTTTTGGGCTTTTCTGAATGGAACGTATCTGAAAAATGGGTAGAAAGAAAGATCCTTGTTCTGCCAACTTTCCTGGTTGTTATGAAGGTCCTATGAGATCCCTTGAAAACTGAAAAGGGCTATGCATATGGAGGACTGACAGTGACCTTCTCCCATCTTAGGGTTTTACCTAGGATTGGCCTCCTATACTCTTTCTCCCGGATGATACCCTCTGCCTCTCTCTGAATCTCTCCGCTCCATCTCTCTCATGTCTTTGCAGGGTGATGTCCAGGAGCTGGCCATTGTCCCAGGGGTCCAGGCAGCCTATGAATCATGTGAACAGAAGGAGCTGGAATGCGAGGGGGGCCAGAGGGAAAGACCCCAAAACCAACAGCCTCACAGAGCCCAGAGATCTCCACAGCAGCAACCATCAAGACTTCACAGGCCACAAAATCAGGAACCCCAGAGCCAGGTGAGGGAGCTGGGAGAACCCCCAAGTGCAGCACACCCCAGAGAGGGAAGACACCCAGGCATCTCTCCTCCTTAGTTGTCCTCCCCACCCTCATCTCCCTATTCCCATCACCCCCTCCTCCTAGTCCTCATTCATCAGCCTTTTTATTTTCATCTAAAAATAAAAAGAGTTGTTATGAAGAATTTGTGGCTGGGAGCTGTGTTCCCTGCTCTGCGTCTCCTCTTCCAGTCTTCCTGGAACTGTGTCCCTGGGTTTTCCCTTCCTTCTTTGAATTAAGAGATTGGGAGACAGTGGGAGAGGGGTGAGAGCTGGGGAGGCAGGTAGGAGAGGGGACTGAAGCCAGGAGAAAGCAGTCGGGATGGTGAGACCAAGGAGGAGGAATGGGAAGGAGTAGGGATGGAGGGAATATCAAAGGAGGGGTGGGTCTGCAGAAGTGTGGGAGTGGGGAACCCAGTCTCTGGCCCCCACCTACCTGGAGGGGCAGGAAAAGGGGAGGTAGTAGGGGGAAGGGAAGGGAAGGGAAGGGAAGGGAGCCTGGGTTGGATGGGGTCTGGAGAGTTAGAATACAGATAGGCTCTGGGGTCAGTGGTCTAAAGATCAGAGGGTCAATCTCTTAATCATGTCTGCTTCTGCCCCACATGTGGAACCCCTTCCCTCTGTTCCACCTCTCCCCACCTCCCTCCTGACCCTCAACCTCTCCTTTCATCTTCAACTCTCTGTTTCCCAACTCCACACCTCCCCCGTTTCCCAACTCCCACACCATCTTTATATCTCCCTCTCCCGCCCTTCACCCCACACCTTCCAATTACCCCATCCCCTTCCTGTCTATGCCCACCCCCCAATCCCAGCCCACTGAGTCTCTCTACTATGACTACGAGCCCCCCTATTATGATGTGATGACTACGGGGACAACCCCTGATTATCAGGTAAACTCAAGGGACCCCTTCATTTCTTCCCTTTCTCCCAGCACCCCCAGCAATCATCTCCTAGGACACCTTCCTCCCCTCCCCCATGCCGTGGGGAGAGGCACAGTGTGTTTAGATTATGGGGATTTACTTAGTTCCTGCCCCCTCCCTGTCTCTCTGCTGCAGCGCCCTGGGAGCCCCCACCACAGGCCTCCCCCTTCCCCTAGGGGGCATCGGACCCCTCCCTGAAAGCCTACCCCACCTGCCAAGAGGTCAATGACCTGGCAGGCGTCCCCCTCACCAGGCCGGAGGCCCTCTCCAACTGCAGGCTTTGACCCAGCATGGGAGCAGCCTCCCCTTTCCCGATGCCCAGCTCGGAGGGCAGCTTCCCCCACTGCCTGGCCCCGCCCCAGGACCAGAGGCAGCAGTTACCGGCAGGTAGAGCCGGGGCATCCAGATCTCTGCCCCCAAACCTCTATGACCTTGGAGGTTCACTCTCCCCAAACTATCCCCCTCCAAAGGGGCTGCAAGATCTGAGATTTCCCCCATCCCCCAGCACAGACAGACCCTGCCCTCGGGGGACAGGTGCTGCTTTGCCTCCCTTCTGCTAACCTTTCTCCTTCCTTCCCACCCCGTGCTACTCTTCTCCTTCTCTCCTTGGGGTCAGGACCCCACCCCAGGTGAAGAGGAAGAAATCCTGGAGTCGAGCCTCTTGCCACCCCTTGAGGAGGTAACTCTATGCCCCACCCTCACCCCATCTGGGGGCAGTGGGCACCTGTGACTCACTCCCCTCAGCCCATGACGTCTTGATGGACCAGCCCCTCCTCTGGCCGGAGGGTTCTTCCTCATTTCCATCGATGGCCTCTGTCTTTGGGTCACTCTAGAACTATGGGCCTGCTTGACTCTCTAAGTCCAGCCCGTTCCCTTCAGTATCCAGGCCTCCTTCCATGATTCTTTGATTCCTGAGTGACTTCGTCTCCATGTTGGTGTCTAATGGTCTTACTTTCTATGTCCTATTTCTGTTCCCGGGAGCCACTTTCTGTCCAGTGTTGTCACCTTTTGTCTTCCCTATCTCTTTGGTCATTCCTGGACTCCTTTGTCTGTCATTGTGTCCATGGACTGTCCACTCTGCATCCAGTCCTCTGGCCACCCTTCATTTTATCCACCACTTCTTCCCACTGGACCCACTTTCTGGACATCTCTCCCCATTTTTGGCCTTTGATGGCCCTTCCATTTATATACAACCACTCCCATGGCTATTCTTGGGAGAAAAAATCCAGTTCTGATTAACCTTGGAATCCTTTGGGCTAGAAGTTGTCACACCCTGGGGTCCAGGGTAAGCCTCCTCTCAGCCCTAACATCCCCATCTACCCCTCTCCCTCCCCATCCCTGGGAAGGAGCAGACAGATCTCCAGGTCCCCCCCACAGCCGACAGGTTCCAGGCAGAGGAATATGGGGAGGGTGGCACAGACCCCCCTGAAGGGCCCTACGATTACACCTATGGCTATGGGGATGATTATCGTGAGGAGACAGAGCTTGGCCCTGCCCTCTCTGCGGAGACAGCCCACTCAGGAGCCGTAAGTGAAAGGAGCTTCTCTTTCATTCTTGACTACCAGTGGGAGCTACAAGAATTGCTTCTTGTTGGTTTCGATCCTTGGCTGTTGGCTGTGAGCTATTTCCCATCTGTGACTTGTCATTTTCTGTTCACATATGATGTATATGTTGCTTGAAAAGATTACTACCTGCCTTCCTTTGCCAAATGTCTTACCTTGTGACTCTTGTGGATACTTCTGAAGCTCAGGGCAATTGGGAATTAAAAAAAAAAAATATGTAGCCACTTCCTGTCTTTCTTGATCACTTCCTGTCTAACTGAAGCTGGATTTCATAAAGCTTTTGGTCAATAAACTACTACCTTGTGTCCATTTTCAGTGTTTCTCTATCATTTCTTCTTGGTGAAATAATTTTTTGTTCATGTTTCTACCAAACGATCTAACTTCCTATGTCACCTTTTTTTAACCTACAGGCCACTTATTATCTGTCCCTTCCTGCCTTCTCCAGCTGTGGCATCCATCTTGGTAACTGTGTCAGGTTGGACTGCAAAGGATTTATTATTTCTGTTCTGGCTCTAGTTTTTCATGCTATCTTGTGACAATTTCCTTTGACAATAAGCCACTTCCTGTATGTCTCAGGTCATTTAAATCATAAAGTTTCCATTGTGGGCCTCGATATTTCTCATGGCTACTTCCTGTGTGTCCTAGCCTTGATGTTTGTGTTTTCTGGAAGAATTACCCTTCACTGTCATGATTCCCTTTGCAGGAGTCACATTCTACCTGTTTTGTGCCTTTCTTTTCTCTCTGGGTCACGGTAGCCATGTTGTTGTTGAAGGTTCACTTCCTGGATCCTCTTTCCTTCACTGCTTCCTGTCTGTTCAGCCACTTCCTGTTTGTCCAGTTTGTTTTCTAGCCATGTTGGCCATGTTTAATTTTCTTCGGCCCTGGCATCATTCTTGCTTCCAAGTGTTTGTCATTTTGTTCTGTGTCCCTTAGTTGTTCTCATATCTTCCAGTATTCCCTGTCAGTGGGACTGCTTCCTGTCTACTCCGCTCCGTCTTCTGCCTGCCTTGCAGTTCTGGCTGCCTCCTCTACCCTGCTGCCGCATCCCATACCTCCCCTCTCTTGCCTCCCTTGAGCTTCTACTGCCTTTCCTTTATGCTGCTCTCTGGGTATTTGGGGTTGATATGGGATTTCAGAGAATTTTGAAACGGATCATTGCTGTTTGGTCAGAATGAAGGTGGAGAGGGGCATTCTGAAGATCTTTGTTGGGGGGAGTTGGGGTGGTGGTGAATGTCTCCCATTCTCCATGTTCTTATTTTGTTTCTGGCCCTAGAGTTGGGAACAGGTATCTGAGTGGAGGTGTGCAAGGGAGGGAACTGGTGGGCTTGGAATGTACTTGAGGGCCAGAGGAAGGGCAATGCATTCAGTGGGGACTGCTCTCCAATTTTTTTTTTTTTTGAGGCAGGGTCTCACTCTGTCACCCAGGTTGGAGTGCAGTGGCAGGATCTTGGCTTACTGCAACCTCTGCCTCCTGGGTTCAAGCGATCCTCCTGCCTCAGCCTCCCGAGTAGCTGGGGTTACAGGCATGTGCCACTGCGCCCGGCTATTTTTTGTATTTTTAGTAGAGACGGGGTTTCACATGTTGGCCAGGCTGGTCTCAAACTACTGACCTCAAATAAGCTGCCTGTTTCGGCCCCACAAAGTGCTGGGATTACAGGCGTGCGCCACCGTGCCTGGCCTCCAAATTTACTTAGAGTATGGATGCTTAACCTTTGGGGCATATTTAAACTTGTGAACCCTTTGAAATCCTAAATAAAATTCTGTGCATAATAGCATATACTTTTTCATTTCTGGAGAAAGACTCACAGCTTTCATCAGATTCTTTTTTTTCTTTGAGATGGAGTTTTGCTCTTGTTGCCTAGGCTGGAGTACGATGGCATAATCTTGGTTCACTTCAACCTCCACCTCCTGGGTTCAAGCTATTCTCCTGCTTCAGCCTCCCAAGTAGCTGGGATTACAGGCATGTGCCACCACACCCAGCTAATTTTGTATTTTTATTAGAGACGGGGTTGCACCATGTTGGTCAGGCTGGTCTCAAACTCCTGACCTCAGGTGATCTGCCTGCCTCCGCCTCCCAAAGTGCTGGGATTATGGGCGTAAGCCACCTCGCCCGGCCTAGCTTTTATCAGGTTCTCATGTGGGTCCATGCCCTCCTCTTACCCCAAATAAAAATCTACCCACAATCTTAGAGAGATTCTTTTATGATGTATTGGGGTAAATGTGTGGAAGGTTTCTTAAGGTTCTAGGGAGGGAGTTTGGGAGATGGGATAGGGTCCTCTAGAAGAGGGTTTGGGAAGGTGGGTGGTTTAAAATCCCTGAAAGGGGCCAGGTGTGGTGGCTCACGCCTGTAATTCCAGCACTTTAGGAGGCCAAGGCAGGCGGATCACCTGAGGTCAGGACTTTGAGACCAGCCTGGCCAACACGGTGAAACCCCATCTCTAATAAAAATACAAAAATTAGCCGGGCATGGTGGTGCACATCTGTAATCCCAGTGTAATCCCAGCTACTTGGGAGGCTGAGGCAGGAGAATCACTTGAACCTGGAAGGCAGAGGTTGTAGTGAGCCGAGATCGCGCCACTATACTTCAGCCTGGGTGACAGAGCAAGACTTCGTCTCAAAAAAAAAGAAAAACAAACAAACAAACAAAAACACTGGAAGTTTCTGGGGACCTTCCTGAAAGAGGCTCTCAGGGAGATGGAGAGGTTGTGTTTGCTGAGGTGGGGCTGGGAACTGGGGGGGCAGGGAACCCTGAGGTCTCCTTGGCAGGCTTGAAAGGTTTGTGAAGAGGGAGTTTTAGGGGAGGGCTGTGGGGCTTTCGGGTAGGGCTGAAGTGGTCTCGAGAGGATCTAAGAATCAAGGTTGGAGTTGAGATGGAGAAAGGCCTAGTGTCCTGGCTGCTCACGGGCCCCACTGGGGGCTACATGTGTGTCTCCTTCAGGCTGCCCATGGACCCCGAGGGCTGAAGGGAGAGAAAGGAGAGCCTGCAGTGTTGGAACCTGTAAGTTATGCTGGTCACAGGGCTGAGGCAGTGGAAATAGGAGAAGCAAGTGGGGTTGAGTGTGCTGGTCCTGTCGCCTCTGATTTTTAACCTTTGACTCCACAGGGTATGCTCGTGGAGGGGCCCCCTGGCCCAGAAGGCCCTGCGGTAAGTCTAGCAGTGACCTGGTGGCCATTCTTTTCTTAGAAACCCCTTCTATGTGCTCATCTGAGCCTTCCCCACATATGCCCAGGCCTCCTCCTCAGAACTCGGGAGCATCCCTCCAATCAACGCTTCCCAGATTCCCAGATCTGTTCTGCACAGACCACTCCTCAGCCACAGGCTGAGTGTCCACACCTGTCTGAATGCCCACACCTGACCCCTACTCTTTTGTTCCTCAGGGATTGATTGGTCCCCCTGGCATCCAGGGGAACCCAGGCCCAGTTGGAGACCCTGGAGAGAGGGTAAGGGGGTGTCCTCCATGTGACGGGGGAGCTTCGGGGGAGCTAGTGGTATCCAAGCGGGGGGCTACCATGCCCAGTAATTTCCTGTTAGGTGGCTTGTTAATGAATGAGGGGATGGTTGTGCTTCCCAGCAACCAGAAAGGAGGGCAGACTCTGGTTGGGGAGGGTGCTGATCTGGTTTCTCACCCTCAATTTTCCCCATGGGGGTGGGAGACTCAGGAAAGAGCTAGAGCAATCTACACTTATTCTGTTGAAGAGGATATTTCAAAATCATGCTAAGATCTTGATGTCCCCTTATCTTTCACCCCATCTTTTGCATTCTCTTCCCACTCCAGGGCCCCCCTGGCCGAGCAGGGCTCCCTGGATCAGATGGGGCTCCTGGTCCTCCTGGCACATCTCTCATGCTCCCAGTGAGTTGTCTCTTGGGTTTTGGAACATGCTGATGGGGAAGACAAGGAATTGTGTCATGTTACCAAGAACCAGATGGGCAGGAAAGATATGGAGGAGTCTCTAAAGATCATCAAAGATCATCACTCCAAAGGGATTCGTCTTTGGGGTTGGGGAGATGGGGCCTCATTAGGTGACCTAGAACAAAACACCAGTCTTCTAGGACTGGGCAGAACAGCCTATATTTCAGGAGCTCTAGAACCAAAAGAGAGTCTTTCTGGAGGCAGAGGCTGGACAGTGGAGGAGGGCAGGAGTTGAGTTTCTGGAATCCTCTAAGTGATTATCTGGAAGCCATGGGAAATGCTGGATGGGCAGAACCTGGGGCAAGGGGCAGAAACGCTGGAGAAAGCCTCTGGCTGGGAGGGTCCCATGGCTTTCTTGGAAGAGAACCTGGACCTTCTCTCCTTGCCCTCAGTTCCGGTTTGGCAGTGGTGGGGGTGACAAGGGCCCTGTGGTGGCGGCCCAGGAGGCTCAGGCCCAGGCGATCCTGCAGCAGGCGAGGGTGAGTGGGGCTGCTTCCCTGGAAAGGGAAGGCTCTGGGGGGCACTGGAAGGGTTGGCTGGAGTGAGTGTGCGGCAGGGGAGGCCTGGGTTGGTTTGGGGTTAACAGGGAGGTTGGGGAGAATCCTGGGCAGTGGATGAGGATCAGGAGAGGAAGGGTGAATTTGGAGAGTGCTGGGGCTGGGGGTTCCCACTGCCTGTCCCTCAGCTCTGCTGTCCCCCTGCTCCCCTAGCTGGCGCTCCGTGGACCCCCTGGCCCCATGGGATACACAGGGCGCCCTGGACCCTTGGTGAGTGAGCAGGGTGCTCGGGTGGAGGATGCTTTAATTGTGTGTGGGGTGTGGATAGTTCTGGAAAGGGGCTTCTTTTGGGGAACACTCCGAGGCCACTGTTGGCTGTGTCCTTCCTTACGGCCATCCTCTCTTCTCTCTCCCAGGGCCAACCTGGGAGCCCTGGCCTGAAAGGAGAGTCTGGAGACTTAGGACCTCAGGTGACCACTTTCCTCCACTGCACCCCCATATCTGTTCACCAGCTCAGTCTCCCTCACTCCCCTCCCTATGCCTCCTAACCCCACCCCATCTCTCCTCTCACCAGGGCCCCAGAGGACCTCAGGGCCTCACAGGCCCTCCTGGCAAGGCTGGGCGAAGGGTGAGTGCCCCAGGGGTGGATGGGTGTTGTGGGGAGACAGGGCCTGCAGGGTAGGGGACTGCGGCCCTGCTTGTTCTGACACTTCCCTTGTTCTCCCAGGGCCGGGCAGGTGCTGATGGAGCCCGAGGGATGCCTGGAGATCCTGGAGTGAAGGTAACAGGCTTGGGCCCCTCCCTGAAGCCTGTAGCCTTCAGCCCACGCTGGGCTCAGTTGTTTCTTGGGGATGACCTAGTTCTCCAGGCTTCCCCAGGATCAGCACCCCCCCAGCTCAGGGTGCAGTAGGGAGGGGTGGGCTTGGACAGGGTCGTGTCCTCACTCTGGCTATCCTTCCTCCTCCTAGGGTGACCGAGGTTTTGATGGACTCCCAGGGCTCCCTGGAGAGAAGGGCCATAGGGTGAGTACATTAGTGGGTGTGTGTTGTAATTGGGGATAGATCTTCTATGGGAGTGAGGATAGGTAGGGAAGGGAGGCTGGAGGCTTGGCAGGAGCTCAGTGAAAGTAATGGATGGGCTAAGTGCAGAGGTTCGGTGTCTGCCTGTGTTGGGGGCTCTGAAGCCCCTCTTATGAGTTCCCCCATTTTGCAGGGTGATACTGGTGCCCAGGGCCTTCCTGGTCCCCCTGGTGAGGATGGAGAGAGGGTAAGTGTAGTGGCAAATGTAGGGGCTGGGTGCAGGGGAGGTCTAGAAGGCACAGCAGCTTTACCGTGTCCTCCTCCTCCAGGGAGATGACGGGGAGATTGGGCCTCGAGGGCTGCCTGGAGAGTCGGTGAGTGTCCAAGGGCTGGTGCTGGGGGAGGGGGCTCTGGGGAAGCCAGGAGGGGGACATGAGCACTAAAGGGACACAGTTTTATCCATTCATGCCGTCTCCTCCCCTCACCGTGAATGCAGGGACCTCGAGGTCTCCTTGGCCCCAAAGGCCCACCTGGTATTCCTGGACCCCCTGTAAGTGACTCCCTGACTTCTGACCCTGAGGTGACCCCTTGACCTCTCCAACTCTCCACCTTTCTAGCTGCCTTCCTGCTCCCTCTCCTCTCTCGGCATGCTTCCCATTCCCTGTGAGCTCCCCCTGCTCTGGCCCCACACTGCCCTGCCTCAGCATTCGCTCCCCGTGCACAGGGAGGGCCATGTGGCGTGGTGCCCTGAGGGCTCTGGGCATAGGAAATAAATCTTCAAGAAAAACAAAACCAAAGCCCACAAGCCCACAGATCCACAGTCCCACACACTGCAGGCCTGGGCCAGCTGTGTTTGCTTGGGTTTGGGATGGATTGGAGGTCTGACCGTCACACCCTCGGGAATGGCCGGGCCTCTGAAAACCACAGGTCCCTCCGGGCCACCTTCAGGCTGCTCACACCCATCTTGTGTTTCAGGGCGTCCGAGGCATGGATGGTCCCCAGGGCCCCAAAGGGAGCTTGGTGAGTGATGGATAGGAGATCCCACCCCCATTCTTATCCCCCGAGGTCCCTGCCAGCATCCTGTTGGCCGCCATTTTGACCCCTGCCTGCTTCCTGCTCTTGCCTTCTTGGCTATCGCTGCTGGGACTCAGCTCCATGCTCTAAATGTGTTCTATCTCCATCTCCTTCTGACCTGTGCCTGGTCACCTGTTTCTAGGGACCCCAGGGAGAGCCAGGACCTCCTGGACAACAGGGCACCCCTGGGACCCAGGTGAGCGGTGCCCCTACTCCGTTCCCCAATTTTCATGACTTCCCTTGGGCTTCCACAATGGGTGAGACCCTGGAAGGATACAGGAAATTAAGGGTTTCAGGCCCTTGTTGCTCATGCTTTGAATCCGGGAGGCTGGATAGAAGAGACCCTGGGAGGCCCCTGTGACTTCTCTTTCCCTGTATGTAGGGTCTTCCCGGGCCCCAGGGTGCCATCGGCCCTCATGGAGAGAAGGTAAGTGACTAAGTGATTTGGAGGACAGGGGGTTTAGAGTGGGGATGTAGGGAGAACCCTAAATGTCTGCTGGGATTTTGTCTGTGTCCAGACATGACCCCTCTAGTGACCCTGAGCCTCTTTGTCTTCCTGCAGGGTCCTCAAGGGAAGCCAGGGCTCCCCGGCATGCCTGGCTCAGACGGACCCCCGGTGAGTGGGACCCCACTTCCGAATCCAGTTCCCCTTGGCCTTCCACCCCAGTGCATGACCTCAGAGCTCCTTTAGTGACCCTTGCACTGAAAGGTCACTGGTGGTGCTTGTCCATGGACAGTTGGCTTCACTAGGTCACAGGAAATTTGGGTTGGAAGAAGTGTAGGGAGGGGTGCAGAGAGGGTGACAGGGGCCACTGGTCACATTTTCTATCCCTTACTCCCAGGGTCACCCAGGGAAGGAAGGTCCCCCTGGAACCAAAGGAAACCAGGTGAGATCTTCCATGTCTTTATCCCCTGAGGGAGTCTCCACTCAGACTCTAGAGCCTCAAAGTCCTTGGGATTCCCTTGTCTCATTATTCATATGGCTCTGCCACATTCTCAATTCCTGTGCCCCGTAACCCTACCCAGACAGCAATGTTGTTACTTCCATTTCTTCCACCCCTGGAGGCCCCCACAGTGACACTCTGAGGCCCCTTTATAAATGCCTCTCTTTTATCTTCCAGGGTCCCTCTGGACCTCAGGGACCTCTAGGATACCCAGGACCTCGAGGGGTCAAGGTAACTGACCACCAGGCTGGGAGACAAAGGGCTGTGGTCAGGGGAGCTATATGGGGTCTTAGGAGCTTGGTCCTTCCAACCCACCTCCATCCCCTGATCAGTCTACTTCTATCCCCTCTCTAATTCTAGGGTGTGGACGGAATTCGGGGTCTGAAGGGTCATAAGGGTGAGAAGGTGAGCACCATGCCCCCAGCTTCCCAGCACCTCAGTCCTGCCATCTCCTCTCTTCACTGCCTTCCCTCCAGCCTGCCCCGCACTGCCGTCCAGCTCCCGAGCCCCTGCTTCCACCTATGTTCTCAGAATTCCCATTAGAACCCCAGCCCTCTGTCATCTGTGGTGCCCTCTCACCTCTATCTTTCTCAGGGTGAGGATGGCTTTCCTGGGTTCAAAGGTGACATAGGCGTGAAAGGTGACAGGGTGAGTAGAGACCCCACACTGGCCCCAATTCCGTGTTCTACTGAGCCTCCACTCTGGAGACGCCAAGCACCGGTTTATTCTCCTGAGTCTCCAGACTCCACAGTTCCAGTGCTGTGTTCCCTTGGGAGCCTGACCCCTACAGGATGATAGCCCCATGGTCTGTGTCATGCCTGCCCTCCCATCACTACACTATCCCTACCCTGTGGGCTTCCTGTCCTGCAGTGGCTCCTGGGACCCCTCTAGCCCTCCTCAGCCTCACTGTTGCCCATTTCTCCTCTGGGCCCAGAGCCCACCTCCAGTCCCCAGCACTCACCTGTCCTTCCCTCTCACACAGGGCGAAGTTGGAGTCCCTGGTTCCAGGGGAGAGGATGGTCCTGAGGGGCCAAAGGGACGCACTGGACCGACTGGAGACCCTGGGCCCCCAGGGCTCATGGGCGAGAAGGTGATGGGATGAGGGTTCTGTGCCTGGGTCCTCTGGGGGTGTGGGCACTGGGGTCAGGATGGGCATGGGTGCCCGCCGCTGAAGTCAGCCAGTCAGTTGAAGATGGCCATGCATTAGTCATACTTCTGTCTGTGTAAATGGCATCTCTCAGCTGCTGATGGGCAGAGGGGATATATAAGAAGTCAGGGAAAAGTCCCTGACACGAAGAGTTGGACGGAGACGAAGCTTAGAGAGTAGCTGTTGCTTCAAGGCAGAGTGAACATGCGTTCGGACTCCAAGCAGCAGGAGTTCTGAGATGAGAGAGTCTAATAGCAGTGAGGTCTGTGGTCTCCAGAGCTGACTCTCCCCAGCACTTGCCCTGTGCCAGGTGCTGTGCTGATGCGTCCTATCTATCCTATGAGGTAGGCATGTGACGTACTGTTTTGCTGAGGTTTTACAGAGGCACAGGGATGCTTGTTGATTACATGGCCAGTGAAGGGCAGAGCCAGGGGTTATGCCCAGGCAGTCTGGCTTCAGAATCTCTGCTTCTAAGCCCTGCTCTGCAGCTGCCTGGGCAGGATGAGCCCTGGAGCCTCTGGGGAAGGGGGCATGCACGGGAGTCGGGGTGTGGTGGGCAAAGGGCCTGCAGGGGGATTGGTCTTGGTGAAGCAGGAGTGGGTGCTGGGGTAGATCCCACCTCCCTCATGGGGTAGATGGAGCTGAGGTTGACATGTGGGAAGCAGCTAGATCACAGTGACCCTGAAGGACCTGATACCTCTGTAGGCGCAGGGGAGGTGGGATCCCAGCACTAGAATTGGGGAAAATCCACTCACGGGAAGGAGAGACAACAAAAGTCAGGCAGCTGTGGGGCAAGCAATGAGGGGCTAGAGGCTGGGGTGTGTGGGGTGTGTTGCTGGGTGGGGGCTGGCTGTTATATGTGAGGGTTGAGGTCTCCAGGGGTGGAGTGGCATCTGGGCCTCCTCTCACTCCTAACTGCTTCCTGTCCCTCCACAGGGCAAGCTGGGTGTTCCTGGTCTGCCTGGCTATCCTGGACGTCAGGGACCCAAGGTGATGCCATGCCCCATACGTGCCCCTCCTCCTCTTCCCTCCTCCTCTTCGCTTCCCTGATCCCTGATTCCAGAAAGCACAGATGCAGGGCAGTGGGGGACCCCAGAGGGAATTTAGCTGACCCCCATTTTACAGATGACCGAAAGAGGCCCAGAGAGCAGCAGGGGTTTGTCCAAGGCCACTTAGTTCTTGGCAGAGCTCGGGTCTCCCTGGCCACTGCCTTTGTGGCCTCTCCTGACCCCCTTTGCCCCTTCCTGAACCCTACCTTTCATAACTTCTCAATTTCCCCCCTTCTCCGTTCTCACCAGGGGTCCCTAGGATTTCCTGGCTTTCCTGGTGCCAGTGGAGAGAAGGGAGCCCGGGTAAGCTGGGGGGTGGGAGGGCGTGAGAAGGGAAGGGCTGGAGAGGTGTAGAGGGGGTCTGTGGGGAGTCTCACCCTGGGTAATGTTCTCTCTGCTTCATTCCCACCAGGGCCTGTCGGGGAAGTCAGGGCCTCGGGGAGAACGGGGCCCCACGGTGAGTGCAGGGGAGAGAAACAGGTGGCTCAAGGTCCAGAGGGGGGCATTTGGGTTTCTCTGACAACTCCTCTTCCCTCTGTAGGGTCCACGGGGTCAGCGGGGACCCCGAGGTGCCACTGGGAAGTCTGGAGCTAAGGTGAATGGTCTCTACAAGGCTCCAACTGCCCCCTGCCCACTCAGCCCCAGCTCTCCCTCAACATCCTGACCTCGGGGACAGCTGGAAAGCAGCTCTTCCCACTCCTTGACTCTGTTTCCCCCCACAGGGAACATCTGGTGGTGATGGCCCCCATGGGCCCCCTGGAGAGAGGGTGAGTGTGGATCGAAAGTCCCCTTCCCCTGAGGTCCCCAGGGAGCCTGGGTGAGCCAGCTCCCTCCTCACCCCAGGAAGGAAGCTGAGTTCCCCCACTCAGCCCCTGCCCCCATTCTCCTGACTCCCCCCACCTCTGTCTCTAGGGCCTCCCTGGACCTCAGGGTCCCAACGGGTTTCCTGGACCGAAAGGACCCCCGGTAAGTTGACCCCGAGCTCTGACCCACCTCGCTTCTCTGAGTCCTTCTTCCCTACCTGCTTTCCAGCTGAGAGTTCACCTGACAACTGAACCCCTTCCAGGGCCCCCCTGGGAAGGATGGGCTGCCGGGACACCCAGGCCAAAGAGGAGAAGTGGTGAGTGATGCTCCTGGCTACCCATTCTCAGGGGGCTCCATCAGACCCTTTAACCCCAGAGCTGTCTGGAAAGCCCACAGGGACGTTCTCCTGGCAGAGTGGAGCCTGCCCTGGTGCTGCTCAGACCCAGGGCCCAGGGCTTGGTGTGATCCTGCCTGGGATCCTTCCTCCTGGGAATCTGCCCCACAGCGCCCACACCTGCTTTCACTGCATTCTCCTCTCTTCCTCGCCTAGGGTTTCCAAGGGAAGACCGGCCCCCCTGGTCCTCCAGGAGTGGTGGGACCTCAGGTAGGTTTGTCCCTAGGAGAGAATGGACCCCTGACCCTAGCATTAGTCTGTCTGCCCCTCTTCTCTCGGTCACACGCCCCTGCCCCGGTCCACCTGACCCAGACTCCTGGGGCTGGGGTCAATGGTGGGGGCTGGGATTTCAGGCAGGGGTCCTGAACTTCAGTCTGTTTTGGGGCGCATTCTCATCGTCTTGTCCCCCAGGAGAGGCAGTTCCCCAACAGAGACACAAGGTGGTGTAGTTACTCCACATGGGGCAGGAGAAAACCCAGCAGTGGCCCAGGAATGCCGGGGAATTTCCCAGGAGCTTTGGGGCAGGGATAAAGGGGTTCTGAAGGAGTGTTTTAGGGTGGCCAGGGTGGGCTCTTCTGGCAGACAGCGAGATGAAGGGCCTGAGAGCAGGAACTCTCTCTGCTTTTGTCTAGGGAGCAGCAGGAGAAACCGGCCCTATGGGGGAGAGAGGTCACCCAGGCCCCCCGGGGCCCCCTGGAGAGCAGGGACTACCTGGGACAGCTGGAAAAGAAGGAACAAAGGTCAGTGAGGGGCCAGGCAGAGGGGAAGTGGGGGAGCTGGGGATTGGGGTGCTGAAAGGAACAGGTAGTTGGAGATTTGAGGGGGGGCTGGAGAGCTCTCTGTTTAATTTGGGAGCATGGCTGTGGCTCATCACCTCTCCTTTCCTTTTAGGGTGACCCTGGTCCCCCTGGGGCCCCAGGGAAGGATGGTCCTGCTGGTCTGAGGGGATTCCCAGGAGAGAGAGGCCTCCCAGGCACTGCTGTGAGTGTGACTCCCAGACCCCTGCCTGTCACAAGCACCAAGCATCCTGAGTCCCCACCCCGACCCTGTCCCTGACCCCCTCCATGTCACTCCCCACTTCCATCTTTTGGAGCCTGTCTTCCCTCTCCAGCTCTCACCCTTCTCTTTTCGTGAAGTCTCATCTTCCCCAAATGTCTGGTTCATAGGGTGGACCTGGTTTGAAGGGGAATGAAGGTCCGTCTGGCCCCCCTGGCCCTGCAGTGAGTCTGGGGTTCCGGAAGTGGTAGGAAGGACCCGGGAAAGGGGTGGGTGAGGAAGGGTGGGAGTGGCATTCTGATACCACCAGGGGCTGTGGGGCTGGGCAGAGGCTGTCCAGGGACAGCCAGAATGCATCTGATTTTGGGAGCTTTTGGGAATTGTGGTCTGAGGTTCTCTGGTATGGGCGGGCTGGTGTCTCCTTCCTGGGGGTCTGACCATCTGCTTTCTCAGGGCTCCCCTGGGGAACGAGGTGCAGCAGGATCAGGGGGACCCATTGGTCCGCCAGGGCGCCCAGGCCCGCAGGGTCCCCCTGGAGCAGCAGGAGAGAAAGGTGTCCCAGTGAGTGTGGGGGTATTGGGGAGGGGTACTGGGGAGGGGTCTGTGAGCCTAGGGTTGATGGGCTATGACAAGTTTCCTGTGGGGTGTTTGAGGGTGAGGGTCACCTCCAGGCCATGACTCCTTCCTCCTGTCCCACAGGGTGAGAAGGGCCCCATTGGCCCGACTGGCCGAGATGGAGTGCAGGGTCCTGTGGGGCTTCCTGGTCCTGCTGGGCCTCCAGGTGTGGCTGGAGAGGATGGAGACAAGGTGAGGGGACCCCACAGACCCCGACCAATCTTCTTTCCAGATGAGATGGCTGACCTGGGCATGACCCCTGGCCCCTGTCATGTCATCCTTCCCACTCTACCCATCACCTTTCTCTAATATCTTGTCTGCCTTCTCCTCCCAGGGTGAGGTGGGGGACCCCGGACAGAAGGGCACCAAAGGGAACAAGGGTGAACATGTAAGTGTCCATGACCTTGACTTCTGACCTCCTGGCCTTTAACCTCAGTCCCACCTGATCTCTCTCCCTGTTTTGGTGTCTCTGACTCTCTTCTCTTACCCAGGGCCCTCCTGGACCCCCTGGACCCATTGGTCCTGTGGGGCAGCCTGGAGCAGCGGTGAGTGACCCCTCCACCCCCACCGAAGGCCCAGCAGCCTCTGGTCCTCCCTCAGCTCCCCTCTGCCCTTGTGGCTGGGAGTGGGAGCAGGGGCTCTGGGCCTGGCACCCAGCTGTGTGTGGTATTTGTGGATAGAGAACACCTGACCCATGACCCATCCCTGTGTCCTTGTCTCTGCTTTCCCTCAACCCTGCAGGGAGCAGATGGGGAGCCCGGAGCTCGGGGACCCCAGGGACACTTTGGAGCCAAAGGTGATGAAGGAACAAGAGGATTCAATGGGCCCCCAGGACCCATTGGCCTACAGGTGTGTTGGGGGATAGGACAGGGGCTGAGAGGTGGGGTCAGGATGGGGTGATGTTTTGCCCCAGACTCTGCCAGCAGCCTGCCGATGCAGACTGGAGGGCCTGCGGAGTCTGAGGGGAGGGGACTGTGGGGCCTATCTGCCTAGGGCTGTGCTTTGGGTGGGGTCGTCACCTGGGCCCATGTTTTGTATACTTGCACAGGGTTTGCCAGGCCCCTCTGGGGAGAAGGGAGAAACAGGAGATGTGGGTCCTATGGTGAGTGTGACCCCTACTGACCCTAGCCACCATACTAGTCACCCCCCTCCCTGGCCAGCCCCCACCCCACACCCCACTGCCAACTCCCTGGCCTGGCTGCTCCTCCTCCTCTCTCCACCATTCATGCTCAGCCATCTCACTTCCCTTCCTCATCTGTGGTGTATCTGTTTCCCCCAGGGACCACCTGGCCCCCCAGGACCTCGAGGTCCAGCTGGACCCAATGGCGCTGATGTGAGTCATCTCAGCCCCTGTCCCTTGAGACCAATGTGTCTGGTCTTCTGCCTCCCTTTCCCAGACCATAAACTCTAGTATCGTCTCAGGGGCCAAGAGAAGCCCTTACTCCCGGGAGGCCTCCACTGCCTCACTGCTGTAACCTTGGGCTGCTCATCTGGGACTTTGCCCCTGAAATGGCACCTCCATCCTAAGCAATGACACCTATTTCTGTTCCTCTTCCAGGGCCCACAAGGTCCCCCAGGAGGTGTTGGGAACCTGGGTCCCCCTGGAGAGAAGGTAACTGGGAAGGGGGTGAGTGGACCAGTCATGGAAGTGGGGGATGGGAGTTGGATTTCTGCCAATTTTGGGTGGGGAGACAAAAGAGAATGAGATGTGGGGAATATCAGAATTTTTTGGCTGGGGAAGGAGAGGAGGTTTTTGACTCTAATCTCTTTGCAGGGGGAACCAGGAGAGTCAGGATCTCCAGGGATCCAGGGCGAGCCAGGTGTCAAGGTGAGTGACAGCTCCAAGGCCTTACTCCCCAGTCCCCGTCACCCGCCTCAACCCTGCCTCCACTTTTCCTGTGACCTCCTTGAGCTGGAACTCCTCTGCAGCAAGAGTCTCTGCTCCCTGCCATCCTCTATGAGGCCTGATCCCTGGTCTGAGTGAGCCCTTCTTCCCCTTTCTTGAAGGGAAGGGGACTAGGGAACTCCCCTTGTAGGCTTGACTTTCTGTGTATGTCCCATTGTCACTGAGGGGAGTAGGGGATGGCTGAAGGTGTCTCGGAAGCAGAGGCTGCATCCCTGATCTTCAAGATTCCCTGGGCCATCTGTGTCCTCCGCTTGTTCTGCAGGGTCCACGCGGGGAACGTGGAGAGAAAGGAGAGTCGGGGCAGCCAGGAGAGCCAGGGCCACCAGGGCCTAAAGGCCCCACAGGCGATGATGGCCCCAAAGGGAACCCTGTGAGTTTGGGGCAGTGGGGGCTGAGTCCTCTCAGGCCCTGTGAATGACAGACCTGGGAATATGGGTGTGTGTGAGGGAGGATCTTGGAGTGTGGGGAGCCCGGGAGTTTGGGGGATGCTCTGGGAATGGGGCATCCAGAGGGATGCCTGGGGTCTAGGATCCGGAGAGAAAGTGAGAGATGCCCTGCAGTTAATACCTTGAGGAATTAGACAACACGCAGTGCACGTGGTAGGGAAAGGGGTGCAGGAGACCTCTTCCTGGGGGGTACTGGTGGGCACTGCCTCTAGAGAGGCAGTGGCGTGTGCCTGTGGGCGTCTGTGCTGGGTGGGCTTAGGGAGCTGTGACCCTGACTCTTATTCTCCATCTGGATCAGGGTCCTGTTGGTTTTCCTGGTGACCCTGGCCCCCCTGGAGAAGGTGGCCCTCGGGTGAGTCTTACTCAGAGAAGGGAAGGGGCAAAAAGGGTGGGGCTTCTATGGGGGGGTCCTCTGTGTGGCCGCTGGGCTTGGGTATTGGGAAGCCGGGGGTATGGCAGGGTGGGCAAGGGGATGGGGTATTGACAGTTTTGGAGGTGATGCCAGCCAGGTTGGGGGCCCACCTCTGACCTTGCTTCACTTCTGCAGGGCCAGGATGGTGCTAAGGGTGACCGAGGCGAGGATGGTGAGCCAGGACAGCCTGTGAGTGCCTGGTGACCCCACCACCCCCCTGAGCCCAAGCCTCATCCTCTTTACCCCTCTTCTGTGCCCCACTCCTGAGGGGTCCCTTGGCTGGAGGATAAACACTCAGCCACCCCAATTCCTCTCTCCCTAGGGATCCCCTGGTCCCACCGGGGAGAATGGACCCCCAGGGCCACTTGGAAAGCGAGTAAGTGAGGTGGACCCCTGAGACCTTGGGAGGCAGTCCCTGGGCTGTGTGGGTGGAGGCTGGGCAATGGCAGGTGGGATGGGTGGGGAGGTGCCTGGTGTCTGCATTGCCCTGGGTGTGTGTGTGTGCAGGAGCTGGTGGGTTTAAGGGCGTGTGGTATCTCATTGCCCGGGGCAGGGTGTGTGTGCAGGAGCTGGTGGGTTTAAGGGTATGCGGTATCTCATTGCACTGGGCGAGTGTGTGTGCAGGAGCTGGTGGGTTGATGGGTGTGCGGTATCTCGGGCATGTTTGTTCCTGGGTTCTGGTGTGTATGTTTTCACCAGGGGTAGTGGTGGTTACTGACAAAGCAGAATGGAAACTGGAGGAGGGGCTGGCCAGCTTTTCTGTGGGCCAGGGGTGAACCTTTTTAGTTTCTGGGGCAGGAGACGGGCCACCAGGTAGGGTGTGGGCAAGTGGCCCTTCACCAAATGTACAGACTACCCAGTATTTTCACAACTGTCACAGCTGTATCTGTTCTGCACATCTGTGAATCGGCCCTCGGCGCGTGTCCCTGTGTATGCACGTGTGTGTGTGCATGTGTATGTGTGTGTCTAGGACAGGAAGGGGGAAGAGTTGAGCCTGGCTGCCCACGGCCTCATGTGCTCTTCCTTCCCACTCCACCTGCAGGGTCCTGCTGGCTCGCCTGGTTCCGAGGGGCGACAAGGAGGGAAGGGAGCCAAGGTGAGGGACAGGCTGCCCTAGTGCTGGAGCATCCCCTCCGCCTCCCACCCCTCAGATGCCTCCGTCTCCAGATGCCCACCCCATCTCCACCTCTCCCATGTTGGGCCCTTATGGGGACAGGCGTTCCCTGTACTTGTTCCTGCGCTAGGGGCTCCTAGAGTTTGGCCCTTCCTCCCTGCCTCCTGCCTCCCACCTTGGACCCTCTGCCCCCTGCCCACACCCCACTCCTCTGCCATTCAGGACACATTCCTTGTGTGTGTTTCAGGGAGATCCTGGCGCTATAGGTGCCCCGGGGAAGACAGGCCCGGTGGGTCCTGCAGGCCCAGCAGGGAAACCTGGCCCTGATGGTCTGAGGGGGCTCCCAGGCTCAGTGGTGAGTCACTGCAGGGAAGGGCTGGGCTGGGGTGGGAGTGAGGGGCCATGGGAGGGGTGCAGTGTGGGGATGCTCCTCCTGACCCCTGTGGCCCCCTCAAATCTTCAGGGTCAGCAAGGCCGACCTGGAGCTACAGGCCAGGCTGGGCCCCCAGGTCCTGTGGTGAGTGACTGGGATTGGGCTGAGTGAGGGGTGAGGGCAGTGCCCTGGGACAGAGCTGAAGCCCTGGAGGAAGTGGAGGCTGTTGGGGAGAACTTGGTCCCACCTCTCCCTTAAGAGAATGACTTCCCATCTCTCCACAGGGACCCCCAGGGCTGCCTGGTCTCCGGGGCGATGCTGGAGCCAAGGGAGAGAAGGTGAGTGACAGACAGACACGTGGCCAGGTGTCTCTCCCATCACCCTCGCCCCTGAAACCTGTGGGACCCAAGTGCCCACTGCTCTGCTTCAGGCCTCCGGCAGCCAGTCCCAGGGAGTCCCTGCTCAGTGAGGGCCACTCACGGACCCTGTGCCCGGCTCCCTCTCCATGTCCTCTTGGCCCTTCTCCCCCATCCACATGACTCCTCTTTGCATTCTCTTGACTGCCTGCACCCTTCTCTAGGGCCACCCAGGTCTCATTGGACTGATTGGGCCCCCGGGTGAGCAGGGAGAGAAGGGAGATCGGGGACTTCCTGGGCCTCAGGGCTCCCCTGGGCAGAAGGGTGAGATGGTGAGTAGAGGGCATGGTCCCGGAAGTTGTGGGGGTTGAGAGTGGGGTGGAGAGGGGTGGAGTTGGAGTTGGGACTCAGCTGTGGGTAAGCGAGCAGGTGCTCAGGAGGGTGTGGGAGGAGGACCCAGTTGAACCAGCCACTACCCTTCCTAGGGTATCCCAGGAGCATCCGGCCCCATTGGTCCTGGAGGTCCCCCCGGCCTCCCCGTGAGTACTGCCTCTGTTCCTCCACAAAATCCCCTAAACCCCTCTGCTGCCCACCCACAGCCTCCCAACGACTTCCATGGAACTACCAGCCTAACAAGCATAGTCCTCAGGGTCCCCCATTTGTCCTGTCACCACCAGTACCTCCTCCCCATACTTCCAGGGCTCTGAATGTCCTAGTATTCCCACAAGACTGCCCCTCCTGTAGTAACCCGAGGCTCCTGTGGACTTGGGACCTTGCCTCCCCGCTCCTCTGAGTCCTGTCCTTCCCCTGCAGTGACCGTCTCTTTCTTGTTCCTCATTTCACAGGGACCTGCTGGCCCCAAAGGAGCCAAAGGAGCCACAGTGAGTGACCCCCTTCAGCTCTGACCTTTGCTCCACCCCCTCTGGACTTGATGATGTCTCTCCAGGACAAATAGACTCCCCCCAAGGAGCCCCTTATTCCAGCCAGGAGGCTGATTTGATCTTTCTGTGACCTTGATCCATGCTTGACCTCTTGACCCCTCCATGACCTGATTTATTCCTTGTCAGGGCCCAGGCGGACCCAAGGGAGAGAAGGGTGTGCAGGGCCCTCCAGGACACCCGGTGAGTGAGGAGTCAGGGCTGCTCCCAGGGCCGTACCCCTCTGCTCCACTGCTGCCACACTTCACCCTCACACCAACCTTGTCTCTTGCCCTCTCCATCTGTCCCTGCACCCAGGGTCCCCCAGGCGAGGTGATCCAGCCACTGCCCATTCAGATGCCCAAGAAGACTCGGCGCTCGGTGGATGGAAGCCGTCTGATGCAGGAAGATGAGGCCATACCGACCGGGGGAGCCCCCGGCAGTCCTGGGGGGCTGGAGGAGATCTTTGGCTCACTCGACTCCCTGCGGGAGGAGATCGAGCAGATGAGGCGGCCAACAGGGACCCAGGACAGCCCTGCTCGCACCTGCCAGGACCTGAAGCTGTGCCACCCAGAGCTTCCCGATGGTCAGTGCTAGCCTCAGGGTGCACAAACATCTCCCCAACAGCATGGGTACTGAACAAGCAGAATGGATGCTGGGGGAGTCTTGGTGAAGGTGTTGGGTTAAGGGTGAGGGCTGAGGGGCTGGGAACTGCAGCTATTTACTAACCAGGTCAGAAGTATCCCAATACTTTAGCAACTGATCTGGGTCAGTGTGTACCAGTTGGTTATCAGCCCAGTGTCTGCAGGAGCAGATAAACATACATACGTGCACACACCTGTTTGCACCTGAACAGATGAATCTGTGTGAGCGCCTGCAACCACATGTTGTCCCAGTATGAGGCTGTCCATACTCGGACCTCCTCCAGTCAGAGGGCCTGGGGTTACTGTTGGGGGCAGAGGTGTCACGTGATGAAAGTGGGCTGCAGCAGTAGGATGCTGCAGTAGAATCCAGCAGTAGGGCTAGATTCTAGGGCTCTGGGAGGGAGGAGGACCAGGAGACTAAGAGCATGATGGGGAGGGCTGGGAGGGAAGAGGGAATGTGGGGGCAAAGAGCATCTTGGAGCCTGGACCTAGGTGGCCCTGACCTCCCCTCTCCCTCACCCAACAGGAGAGTACTGGGTCGACCCCAACCAGGGCTGTGCTCGGGATGCCTTCCGAGTTTTCTGCAACTTCACAGCAGGGGGTGAGACCTGTGTGACGCCTAGGGATGACGTCACGCAGGTGAGAGCTGGCCCCTCGCTGCCCCTCCCCTGCCCCATAGTGCACCCCCTCAGGGCTTAGTGGTTTCTGGGTTTTGGTGACAGTCCCCTGGCTGTTGCCCCCCCCGGAGCCTGCCACCCCTTCTCCACTTCTTAGCTCTTTCTTCTTTTCCTTTTCACCGGTCCTCTGATGCTCACTTTGCCTTTCGTGTACCCCCAGTCTCCTGGCTCCCACTCAGCCCCTCACTTCTTTCCCAGCCCTTGCCTTCCAGCCATTCCCTGCTCATGACTCTGGCTCAGCTGTCCTGGTGCCGTAGATGCTCCTGAGGCCCGTCTCTGTCTCCCTCTGAGGCCAGCCCTCTCTCTCCCCCTCTGAGGCCAGCCCTCTCTCTCCTTCCAGTTCTCTTACGTGGACTCAGAGGGCTCCCCAGTGGGTGTGGTCCAGCTCACCTTCCTGCGGCTGCTCAGCGTCTCAGCCCACCAGGACGTCTCCTACCCCTGCTCTGGAGCAGCCCGTGACGGTCCCCTGAGACTCCGTGGGGCCAATGAGGATGAGCTGAGCCCGGAGACTAGCCCCTATGTCAAAGAATTCAGAGATGGCTGCCAGGTGGGAACAGGAAGAGCTGGGTTGGGGGCTGATCTCAGACTCAGGCTGGAGGAAGGAGGTGGGAAGACCCCTTGGGCAGGGCACCCAGGGGGAGCAGGGAGGAGTCCGTCCTGCTGGATTGTCAGGGATGCCTGAGGGAGCTCAAAAGCCGGTGAGGAAGGTGGAAAGGATGGAAGCCATCGGGTGAGGTTCACTTGGGTACAAACACCAGCGTCACACAGGTTAATGCAGACGTGTACACAGACTGGCACATGGCTGCCCAGCAGAGGCACACGGTGGGGGAGAAGCAAACACACACGCATGGGCACATAGACACTGCCAGTCTGTACATCCTGAGTCACCCTGATGGGGCCAAGGTGCTCAGAGGAGAGGTGAGCCTGGGCCTGAGGTTAGAGGGTGGGGGGTGCCTCCATCCTGCTCACACTTTCTTCCTTGTCTCCCCCTGAAGACACAGCAAGGCCGGACGGTGCTGGAGGTGCGAACGCCTGTGCTGGAGCAGCTGCCAGTGCTGGATGCCTCCTTCTCAGACCTGGGAGCCCCACCGAGGCGGGGAGGGGTGCTGCTGGGGCCTGTCTGCTTCATGGGATAGGACCGTCTCTGTCTGATCCTGTCCATTCGGAACCAGGCCCACCTGGAATCCCACAACATCAGCTCTGTGCCACCTCCCAAGAGGGCTCCTCACTATCTAGGGAGCCCTGGGCCAGGGCGTGGAGAGCCCTCAGTCGGGGCAGGCCAGGGGAGGGGTGAAGTGGTTGCCTGGACACCCCACGGGAGGAGTGGCATCTGGGGCTCTTGGCCCTCCCACCTGGAGCCTGTTACCCGTTAGAGAGCTGAGACCCTTATTTAAAACTCACCTCCCAATCACCCCAAACAAATGGAAGAGAAGAGAAAGGACATGGCGTATTTTGTATTTAAAAGTAATTGTATTAATTATTTAAAGTGTGGAAAGCAAAATAACAAAAAAGAGAAACGCCAACAAAAATCAGCAGATGTTGAAGACAGGGGTCTCGGGGGTGGGCTCCGGCACCCACATCCTGGAGTCAGGACTTTCCTCAGTGACTGTGTGTAGGGGGGTTTCAGGGCTGAACCCCACCTCCCTCCCACCTTCCTCCCACCTCACCTGTCGCACCCACTGTGAAAGTTGGAATATGTGGTCTCCCTGGCCTCAGGGCTCTGACTCTGCCAGGGTGGGGCTCTCTAACCCACAGGTGTTGGCTGCCTGGCCCATGTGCCCACTGTCTCTTCCACTTGGTCTGGGTTTGGCAGGCACTGCCTGCTACTTGAGGGCCAGGATGCTCCCCCAGGGAAGAAACGGAATAGTGTGGGGTGTGTGCAGGGCTGCATCCCGCAGATGGCTGGAATATTAAAATTCTTCTATATTGGCTGGTAAATTGCCATGGCCCTGAGCCACTGAGTATGTTCATTGCCACCCCTGTCCCTCCCCTGGGCACCCCTCACTTTCCCTGATCCTGCAATTAAAGGGTTAATGTGTGGCATATGGAAGGGACTCCCAGGACCCTGTGCCCAGCTTCCATGCTGACTGATGGTTAAATAATGTGATTGTCTCCTCCCAGGTGTCTGTGTCACTGCTTGTGTTGTTATTTCAGTCTCCCCCGACACCCATCTGATGCTTCCTCTTCCCAGCTAAGTGGTTACCAGAATTGTATGGCTTAATCCAGATACCCTGCAAGCCCTGTCCAGCTGGGGTGTCAGGGCCCAGAGTTTACAAAGCCTGGGTGACTAGCATAAAATTACAAACAATGCCCCAGGGACACCAGGTAGGGGTTTGGGGTCCCTATGGCTCCAGTTTCTGACACGGGTGTGCGATTGCTTCTGGGTGTGGGTGGGACGGTGCTACATAGCCCAGTCTAATCTCTGTAAATGGGGAGGCTGAGGCCCACTTCCAAGACATTTACTGCATCTGTACCTCTGGTCACCTTATCCCTCCCCATCAGCCTTGTGCTGTGCTGTCATGAAGACAGGGCTGTGGCCAAGCCCTCCACACTCACGTGTAGTCACGTGCATACTCGTTGAGTCTTTGTGTTGGGTGGAGTCGCACAGTCCCTGCCTGTGTCCCCCCACTCTTGACTGTCCCCCACTTCCCTAGCCTCCCTCTCCTGGGCACTCAGAAGCTCTGCTCCCTCCGGGTTAGGTGTCCAAGAAGTCCTCTCTTCCAAGGCTGGCCGCGCAGCCGGGACCCCCTAGCTGGTGCCCATGGGGCTTCACATTCCCAAGCAGTATTGCCTGGCTCCTGCCTGTCAGGGCGCTGCATTAAAACGTGTTCCAGGGCCTCATCCCAATTTCCTCTTCCTCAACCCTCTTCCTCGCGGGCGCCAGAATCAAGAGTGCGTGCCTTTGTGTCCCGGTTTCGCATCCGCGGCCTCGGGGCGGGCCTGGCAGGGCTGCCCTTCACCCCGAGCCCGAGCCCGGGTAGGCTGCGCCCCCGCCCCTCCTCCCCGTACTTCTTCCTCCCAGCGTGTCCCCGACAGCATCGGCTTGGCCGTCCCGGTCCCAACCCATTCTCGATCGCAGGAAGCCCCACGTGGGCGTCTAGACGGCCACTCTGGCCCGGGCGGGTGCGCGGAAAAACTTCTCGAGGGTGGAAGCCTCTCCTCGGCGCTGGCGCCTCCGCCTCTGCCGCCCCCTAGTGCCCGCGCTGAGAACGCGGCCCCGCACCGGGTCAGCTGAATAATCCCGGTCCCTCAGACGCCTCTCCCTTGTCACCCGCTGAACCCCCTGACCCCGAAGGCCGAATGGAGGAAGAAGCCCCTGATCTCATCTGTCAGGGGTCCGGTGGTGGATAGGTTTTCTGGGATCACCCATGCTCTCCATCTCAATATCCAAGGCCCAGGGGCTTCAGACACCCCCTTCCCTCCCTCTCAGGGTCACATTAAGAGAAGATCAGATCTAAATAGGTGCCCCCCATCTGTTTCTCCCGCACCCACTCCCAGCCTAGCCGGGCTGGAGTTGAGATTTCTTTGGCGCTCTTTCTGCAGCTGGAGCCAAACCCGCAGAGGTCGCCCCCCGAACAGCAAGAGGACTTTCCCAAAGGTCACGTTTGGTCAGATGCTCTGAGTTCCGAGGGCTTTTCTGCATGGAAACAATGCTGTACAGTCACTCGAATAACATTTATATACGGCGGCTAAGTCCCCAGGCCAATCCACAAAAGCCTATTTAATTACACAGTGCTGCCAACCAACCCCATCTAACAGTTTCACGAGGGAGTCTGTGCCAAGTTGCTGTTGAGGAGGCCAGGCCCACAGCCTTCTCTTGGCAGCTAACTTCTTCCTCCCCTCCAGAAAGCTAGAGCCAGGCTCTAAGGAAGGGTGGGAGGGGTTTAAGGGCAGGGCTGTAGAGGCGGGGTTTTGGGGTGGGGCTGGGTGTGAACAGGGCAAGTGCCCAGGCCTCTGGGCCTGTGGGTAGTGGCAGTGTCTCCATTGGCTGGTGGGCAATGGAGGCTTCTGGGTGGGGTGGGAGGAGATAGGGAAGAGAAAGGCAGAGGCTTTAGGGAACTACTTTGGGTTTGATTGGGGCAGAACATAAACTCTTGTTGGAGGGGCCAAATTCTGAAAAGTATTGACTGCTTATGGAAGGAGTTGAACTTGAACCCAAAAACTAAGAGTCATAGATGGTGTTTGAAAAGGCAAGTGATATGATGGAATTGTGCGCTGGCATGGTGGCGAAGGAGAGGAGGGTTTGGGATGGGGCGCACAGGGAGATCATGTTTTTTTTTGTTTTTTGAGACAGAGTCTCGCTCTGTCGCCCAGGCTGGAGTACAGTGGCGCCATCTCGGCTCACTGCAGCCCCTGCCTCCCAGGTTCAAGCAATTCTCCTGCCTCAGCCTCCCGGATAGCTGGGACTACAGGTGTGCACTGCCACGCCTGGCTAATTTTTGTATTTTTAATAGAGACGGGGTTTCCTCACGTTGGCCAGTATGGTCTTGATCTCTTGACCTCATGATCCTCCCGCCTCGGTCTCCCAACTGCTGGGGTTACAGGCGTGAGCCACCGCGTGGGAGATCATGTATAGAGGGAGGGCTGTGGGGTGGGTCCTCTGGCCTGTCACACCCTTGGAGCTGCTTTTCAGCTTTGGGCTTATATTTTTAGCATCTGTAACTTATGGTTAAAAAATAACTTGTGAAATAAAATAAAAATAACTTACAGACCACTTATATCACTGTACCTGGGAGCACCACATATCCTAGAAGGCCATGGGCTACACAGAGCTGTTCTTGCCCTCCCTTGGCTGTCTTGCATGCTGAGGTTTGTAGTTTTGAATGGACCAGGGCAGGTGGGGGTGGAGATGAGACAGAGGAGGGAGTGAGTCAAAACAAGGCTCTCAGCCTGGGCAACAAAGCAAAACTCCTTCTCTCTCTCTCTTTCTCTCTTTCTTTGAGACAGGGTCTCTGTCACTCAGGCTGGAGTGGAGTGGCAAGATCAAGGTTCACTGCAGCCTCGACCTCCGTGGGTTCCAGCCATCCTCCCACCTCAGCCTCCCGAGTAGCTGGGTCTCCAGGCATGTACCACTAGTTTTTGTATTTTTTGTAGAGATGGGATTTTGCCCTGTTTCCCAGGCTGGTCTAGAACTCCTGGGCTCAAGAGATCTGCCCATCTCGGCCTCCCAAAGTGCTGAGATTACAGGTATGAGCCATCACGCACGGCCCTTTTTCTCTACAAAAAAATAATTTAAAAATTAGCTGGGCATGGTGGCATGTGCCTGTAGTTGCAGCTACTCAGGAGACTCAGGCAGGAGGTTCACTTGAGCCCAGGAGTTTGAGGTTGCAGTGAGCTATGCTCTTGCCACTGCACTCCAGCCTGGGTGACAGAGAGATACCCCATCACAAACAGACAAACAAACAAACAAAGGGCTCCAGCTGCCTCAGAAATAAGTTTCTGTGTAGTAGCTGGTGGCCACCTTGTTTTGTGGTTGTTTAGCCCATTTTCCTGCAAGTGTGGTGTGGTCAGCAGGGAGCATCAGGGCCACACTGGAGCTTCTTTCTGTCGAGCTGTGCAGTTCACAGACTGTACATGTGTAGGCCATAGCTATGTTTCTCAACTCAAACCTAGAGTAAGCAGAAGTCACCTTAAGTGCTTATAACTGGCCTTCTGTTATCTTTTCTTTCATCTTCAGAGTAGTTTCATGGGAACTGGCACTGACAGCAGACTGCCATCTCAGTAGGGAAGACCTGTCCTGCTAGTCCTTGAATAAAGACCAAGGATATCTACATGGGCTTCTCCTTTAGGGCTCTCCCCACACGGCCAGGATGGTAGAATGAACACAGCTCTCAGCTTCAGCGAGAGCCAGCATATCACCCTGTCTGGCTTTCCCTCAGTTGGCAGGAGCAGGTCAATCCATTTTGTGTACTTCGCTCTGGCCTCTCTTTTTTTGTTTGTTTTTTGTTTTTGAGATAGGGTCTCACTCCCCTTGCCTAGGCTAGCATGCAGTGGTGCAATCATGGCTCACTATAGGCTTGACTTCTTATGCTCAGGTGATTCTTCCCCCTCAGCCTCCTGAGTAGCTGGGACTACAGGCGAGTGCCACCATGCCCAGCTAATTTTTTGTATTTTTAGTAGAGACGTGGTTTCTCCATGTTGCCGAGGCTGGTCTCAAACTCCTGGGCTCAAGAGATCCCCCTGCCTCAGCCTCCTAAAGTGCTGGGATTATCTGGCCTCTCTTTTTTTTTTTTGAGATGGAGTCTCGCTGTGTCGCCCAGGCTGGAGTGCAGTGGCACAATCTCGGCTCACTGCAACCTCCGCCTCCCGGGTTCAAGCGATTCTCCTGCCTCAGATTCCTGAGAAGCTGGGACTACAGGTGCCCGCCACCACGCCCGGCTATTTTTTTTTATTTTTAGTAGAGACGGGGTTTCACCGTGTTAGCCAGGATGGTTTCGATCTCCTGACCTCGTGATCCACCCGCCTCGGCCTCCCAAAGTGCTGGGATTACAGGCGTAAGCCACCGCGCCTGGCCTATCTGGCCTCTCTTTCTATTAAAAACGCCTTACTCTAGGTTGAAGGACTTTTGGTTCCTGAGGCATGGATGATTTCCCAAAGTACAACAGATAAAAGCCACACTGGCTGTACAGCAGCTCATGTAAAGGTCATGTTCCAGGTCTTGGCCACTTCACCTATAACAGGCTTGGACTCCGGCAGAGCCTCAGGCCAAAGAATGTGGGTCATAGAGATATCTTCCTCATTGTGTTCACATCTCCCCCGGGCCTGGGCTATATTGTTGGGTCAGGTAATCGGCCTGCTCTCCTCATGAAATAAGGCATACTGGTATTACTAATGCTGGGAGAGATTTCTTATAATTCCATCCCTTCCCAGTTGTGGTTATTTGTATTAATACCTGCAGGTTTTCCTTACTTTTAGAACTGCAAATCTATAGAAACAAACAAACCCCAAACCCAACAAACATGTTTCAGAGACATTAGGGTTAGGGAGAAGATGAGAAATAGCACCCTGTTTGATTGGGGCCCTGGGGAGAGAGGGACTCAGACAAAAGAGTTTGAGTGGCAGGTGGTCTAGTTTTGGGTGGGTTGAGCAGACTTAGGGCCAAAGGTGGCACTGATTCTAGCTGGCAGCGGGCCTCTCTGTATTTCCAACTGAGAGTTCTCCTTCCCTTAGCTTGTCAGGGATGCTTTGCTTCTGAGTTGCACACTTAACCTCAGCATCAGTTTCTTCACCTGCAAAGTGGGATAATACTTGCTCTGTAAAGGAATAATTCCCCCTTTACTGACAGCCTTTGCAATGGAAAGTGAGGGGAGGGACCTGACAAGCTGTCTTGGTTCCATCTCCATGTCTTGGTTATTGCTGACACACGGGTGTCTGGGGCATGCTGCTGTCCCTTTTCCACTTTTGATTTTAGTGCTGTTAAAACTCTATACTTACTATTATTATTTTCTTGTTACAAATCGCAAAATCTGATTCAGAATAGCTTAAGCTCCAAAAGGAATTGATTGTAAAAATATTGGGTTTCTCAGGATTTGAAGACAGAGTTGACTCAATAGGGAAGACTGAGAGCAGTTCTGGGAACCTCAGGGGCTCATGGACTTTGTCCCTGGAGTGTGGATACTCACCGCTCAGCAGAGCTGCTCTTGACCTCTGTGTCTCTGGGCCCCATGGTTCAAAGTCATGGAGAGACAATCTGATTGGCTTAGCTTGGGTTATCTCTGTCCCTGAGAACCAATTTTCTGTGGCTGAGGGCCCAGTGTACCAACCAAGAGGTATGTAGGATGCCTTTTGGTGGAGGTGGAGGGGTGTTGGGGGCACTGTTTCCAGATAATGTGGGATCCTGAGGCCCCCAGGAGGTGTCCGCTTGCTTTCCCTTCTTCGCTTCTGTCTAAACAGACTCCTTTGTATGCATTTGACCAGCGTGATACAACCAGCCCCTTCATGATCACATTTGCTCTCCCTGCCACCCAATCTCCTGGATGGGCAACCCAAAGTCACATTCAGCAGCTGTGGCCATGACCTCTCTAACCTCAGAGGCCGACATCTCTGCCAGTTCATATTTTGCCACTTTGTGATTCAGCACATAAACTTTCATGGCCGTTATATCCAGGGCTGCATTGTGACTTCTGCGGGCCCTATGCACTTTTCTAAACAATAAATTTGAAATCATACTTATGATTGTGTTGATACACAGGCAACTATATTAATATTATATATTAAAATATTTTCTTCAACCTTAATTTTTTTTCTATTTTAAAAGAAATGTAAACATTGCCATGGGAGTATTGTGGGCCCTAGGCACTGTGGCTACTGTACATAATGGATCCATGGGCCCTCCTTGTGTCTTTGTTAAAGATTTTACTGGTTTACTCTTAAAATGTAATCACAATTCTGTTACCACAATTTTAATAATCATTCCTGTTGTCATCAAATATCCAGTCAGTGTTCAGATTTCCAAGATTGTTTTGTAGGTTTTGTGTGTGTGTGTGTGTGTGTGTGTGTTTGACTCATGATCCAAATAAAGCTGATGGTCTTCTAATTCTTTAAAGATCTACATTTTCCGTAATTTATTTAAAGTCCTTTTTGTTTACTTTTATTATGGACAAATTTAAGCATATACAAAAGTGGTTTATTATTGCTTTTTTTTTTTTTGAGATGGTCTTGCTCTGTCGCCCAGGCTGGAGCACAGTGGCACGATCTCAACTCACTGCAGCAACATCCGCTTCCCAGGCTCAAGCGATGCTCCAGCCTCAGCCTCCCAAGTAGCTGGGACTACAGGCGCCAGCCACCATGCCCGGCTAATTTTTGTATTTTTTGTAGAGACAGGGTTTTGCCATCTTGTCCAGGCTGGTCTCCAACTCCTGAGCTCAAGCAATCTGCTCATCTTGGCCTCCCAAAGTGTTGGAATTACAGGTGTGACCCACTGAGCCTTGCCTGTTATTGCTATCTTAAAAAGAATTAATACATGTTAAAAATCTTTTTCAGTTCTAATTTTGAATACAGTAAATATCAATAACAATATTGTAAGTAAAGCTTTTCAGTGTTTTCAGTAATTTAAGGGGTTTATACTCTTAAAACATTGAGAGATTTTTTTCAAATTGAGATTTAAAAAAATTGGGAATCACTAATCTAGAAGAACTGTTAAAAATAGTCATGCCCACCTGTGCTCACCCTTAGAGATCTGGATTCAACCCATTTGGGGCGTGAGCAAAGGGACTTGTGTAAAATTTCCCCAGGCAATTCCAAAGTGCAGGCTGTGTTGAGAACCTCTGCTCTAAACTGGAGAGATCCCGTAAGAAATAAGCAGCCAGGTGCAGTGGCTCATGCCTGTAATCCCAGCACTTTGGGGGACCAAGGCAGGTGGATCACTTGAGGTCAGGAGTTCGAGATCAGCCTGTTCAACATGGTGTAACCTTGTCTCTACTAAAAATACAAAAAATTCGCCAGGTGTGGTGGCACGTGTCTGTAATCCCAGCTACTGGGGAGGCTGAGGCAGGAGAATCACTTGAACCAGGGAAGCAGAGGTTGCAGTGAACCGAGATCATGCCACTGCACTCCAGTCTGGTAGACAGAATGAGACCCTGTCTCAAAAAAAAAAGAAAAGAAAAGAAAAGAAAAAAAAGGAAATAAGCAAAGATGGCCGGGTGTGGTGCCTCACACCTGTAATACCAGCACTTTGAGAGGCTGAGGCGGGCGGATCACCTGAGGTTAGGAGTTCGAGACCAGCCTGACCAACATGGAGAAGCCCCATCTCTACTAAAAATACAAAATTAGTCGGGCATGGTGGCACATGCCTGTAATCCCAGCTACTTAGGAGGCTGAGGCAGGAGAATCGCTTGAACTTGGGAGGCAGAGGTTGCGGTGAGCCAAGATCACGGCATTGCACTCCAGCCTGGGCAACAAGAGTGAAACTCTGTCAAAAAAAAAAAAAAAAAAAAAAAAAAAAAAGAAATAAGCAAAGGCACAGAGTGGGAAAGGCAACCAAATGCCCTAGGTCTGAAAGGGCCTCCTGGGACCTGCTGCATCCAGCAGAAATGCTTGCAAGTGCAGGCCCAGACAACCCAAAAAACAGGGGCTAAAATAAACAGGAATTCATTTTTCTCATAAGAAATCTGAGGATGACAGCTTCCAGCATTGGTTTGAGCATTTAATGATGCCATCAGGGTTCCAGACTCTTCATATGTTTACACTCCACCCTCCTACAATGTTACCCTTACATATTTTCTTTGGCTAAACTATAAGCACGTTTTTCATAATAGCTGTTCCATTTACATCACTGTCAAACATGACATTCACCAATAAAGAAAAGACGCATGAGACGTGTTCGGCACCCCTTAGCTGTAGAAATGCCTGCCACCACTTTGCTGTCATGAAAGAGCCATTTTATGGCTATTGCAAATGCTTTGAAGATACTAAGACTTGTACCTGGAAGCTATAGATGCAGTGTGGGAAACTGGGAAGTATAATTGCCACTGAATTGTTATTGATTTATTACTGCAAATAAATCTATGCAGGTCCCTTCTGAAATTGAGATGGTCCTGAACTGAACAAATGTCTTATTGACATTCATAACAGTGGCTGGTATTCCTTCTTTATCCTGTTTGTCAGTTTTTGGAATTCACTGATTAGATAAATAAAAAGAATCTCACTTGCTCCTTACTAATGAGCTCCACGGAGGGGCATGATGTTGGAAAAGGCACCATGCAAGGCATGATTACTAAGAAGACAAAGGGCTTGTCGGGGAGCTGTTAGGGAGGGTCCTGAGCCAGGGCTTGGGAAAAACATCTCATCATTTTACTGTATCTGATGCTTGGAAGTGACATGTGCTTTGCAAACTCCAGTTTATGTTTTGATGACTTTGTGCTTGTTCTGCTTGGTTAGGATTAGCTTCAGCTGTGAGAAACAGAAAACCCTGGAAACAACAGTGTCTCCACCAAGATAGAAGTTCATTTCTCTCTCACATGCAACCCTAGGGCTGGTGTAGTGTTTAAGTGTCAGAGACTCAGGTTCCTTCTATCTATCTTTTTCTTCCACCAGCCTCAACATAGCTCTTCTCTCTCAGGTCCAATATGACTGCTTGAATTCCAGCTTTCATGTTTGTGTTCCAGTCAGCTGAAGGAGAAAGGGGAAATAAGGACAACCCCTCTTTTTTTTCGTTTTTTCTTTTTTTTTTTTTTTTGAGAGGGAGTCTTGCTCTGTCACCCAGGCTGGAGTGCAGTAGTGGATCTCAGCTCACTGCAACCTCCGCTCCCCAGGTTCTAGCGATTCTCCTGCCTCAGCCTCCTGAGTAGCTGGGATTACAGGCATGTGCCACCATGCCTGGCTAATTTTTGTATTTTTAGTAGAGATGGAGTTTCACCACGTTGGTCAGGCTGGTCTCAAACTCCTGACCTCAAGTGATCCACCCGCCTTGGCCAATACCTTTAGGCAAAGCATTATAGCAGGAGTCTAAAAACAAATGGGCTGTTTTGTTTTGCTCGGAAATCTCTCCCCGAGGGATTGTTTTGTTTTTTGAAGTATTTGAAGGCTAAGTATCTAGAGCTTGTGCTCATGGAGTAGCTGCCCCTTTCCTCGTGAGGCCACCATTAGTTACCTCTGCATATATGTCTGCCTCTGAGGTGTCTGGCTGTCTGAGGAGGCCTCTGGCTTTGTTAGTACACCACTAGGATATTTGCAACGTGGATCAAGACTTTTTAATTTAATTTAATTTTATTTTATTTTTTTGAGATGGAGTCTTTCTCTGTCGCCCAGGTTGGAGTGCAGTGGCACAATCTCAGCTCACTGCAACCTCTGCCTCCCAGGTTCAAGCCATTCTTCTGCCTCAGCCTCCCAAGTAGCTAGGATTACAGGTGCCTGCCACCATGCCTGTTGCGGGAAGTCAGGGACCCCAAATGGAGGGACCAGCTGGAGCCGAGGCAGAGGAACATAAATTATGAAGATTTCATTTTAATATGGACATTTATCACTTCCCTAATAATGCTCTTATAATTTCTTACGCCTGTCTTTACTTCAATCTCTGAACATAAATTGTGAAGATTTCATGGACATTTATCAGTTCCCAAGTAATACTCTTATAATTTCTTATGCCTGTCTTACTTTAATCTCTTAATCCTGTTATCTTCACAAGCTGAGGATGTACGTCACCTCAGGGCCACTATTGTACAAATTGACTGTAAAACATGTGTGTTTGAACAATATGAAATCAGTGCACCTTGAAAATGAACAGAATAACAGCGATTTTAGGGAACAAGGAAAGACAACCATAAGGTCTGACTGCCTGTGGGGTTGGGCTAAAAGAGCCATATTTTTCTTCTTGCAGAGAGCCTATAAACAGACGTGCAAGTAGGAGAGATATCGCTAAATTCTTTTCCTAGCAAGGAATATTGATAATTAATACTCTGGGAGAATAATTGCATTCCTGGGGGGGAGGTCTATAAACAGCCGCTCTGGGAGTGTCTGTCTTATGCGGTTGAGATAAGGACTGAAATACGCCCTGGTCTCCTGCAGTACCCTCAGGCTCACTAGGGTGGGGAAAAACCCCACCCTGGTGAATTTGAGGTCAGACCGGTTCTCTGCTCTCGAACCCTGTTTTCTATTGTTTAAGATGTTTATCAAGACAATATGTGCACAGCTGAACATAGACCCTCATCAGTAATTCTAATTTTGCCCTTTGCCTTGTGATCTTTGCTTTGCCTTTTGCCTTGTGATCTTTATTGCCCTTTGAAGCATGTGATCTTTGTGACCTACTCCCTGTTTGTACACCCCCTCCCCTTTTGAAGTCCTTAATAAAAAGCTGCTGGTTTTGTGGCTCAGGTGGACATCATGGACCTACTGATATGTGATGTCACTCCTGGCGGCCCAGCTGTAAAATTCCTCTCTTTGTACTCTTTCTCTTTATTTCTCAGACTGGCCGACACTTAGGGAAAATAGAAAGAACCTGCATTGAAATATTAGGGGTGGGTTCCCCAGATACATGCCCAGCTAATTTTTTTGTGTTTTTAGTAGAGACAGGGTTTTGCCACGTTGGCCAGGCTGGTCTCGAATTCCTGACCTCAGGTGATCCACCCGCCTCAGCATCCCAAAATGCTGGGATTACAGGCATTAGCCACTGCACCTGGCCATCTCAAGATGGTTTTAATGGTTAGAAATATCAGCCAATTGAATTTTCAGAGACATATGCCACCTAATTTTGTATTCAATACTTAAGTCATTAAACTCCAGTGGTCTATATACCTGTTTGGCCTCTAAGACAGTTTGGCCTCTAAGTCTGTGAGCACTTTCTGTGATGATGGAAATGTTCTACATTTATGCAATTTAATGTGGTGGCCACTATTCACATGTGGCTATTGAGCACTTGAAACATGGCTAGTGCACTAAGAAACTCAATTTGAAATTCAATTTTAATTTTATTTAATTTAAATGGCCACAGGTAGCTAGCTAGTGCTACCATATTAGACAGCACAGCTCTGAGGCTCTTTTAAGGACCCACATAATTCAATGAAGAGACCCAAGTTTAATACAGATGTGGGATATGCAGTCTTCATAATTCAAACACGCCAATTAATTTCTGTTCCTCTTTTTCAAGTTGGGGGCTTTCAAGCACAAAGGCTTTTACCTGGTCTTGGGCAGAATTTTTCTCCCCAAAATTTTACCAACATTTGTGCTCTTTTATAGTCTGTTCCTTTTAACTCATAAAATTAATAATGGAAGACAGAGGTTTTTGATGCAGTTGCTTTAAAAAAAACCAGGTTCAGGCCAGGCACAGTGGCTCACACTTGTAATCCCAGCACTTTGGGAGGCTGAGGTGGGCGGATCTTCTGAGGTCAGGAGTTTGAGACCAGCCTGGCCAGCATGGTGAAACCCCGTCTCTACTAAAAATACAAAAATTAGCTGGATATGGTGGTGCGCATCTATAATCCCAGCTACTTGGGGCTAAGGCAGGAGAATTGCTTGAACCTGGGAGGGGGAGGTTGCAGTGAGCTAAGATTGCGCCACTGCACTCCAGCCTGGGTAACAGAGTGAGACTCCATCTCAAAAATAAATAAATAAATAAATAAATAAACAAATAAATAAATAAATAAAATCAGGTTTACTGAGATATAATTTAAATACAGTGAAACCATAGCTGTACAGTTGTTTATGAGTTTGACAAACATATTCATTGTGTAACTACTACTACAATGAAGATAATATTTCTATTACCCCAAAAAGTTTCCTCATGGACACAGCTTTTTTCAAGTCACTCCTGGTTAATGTGTCATTAGGATAATAAAACAATGTTAATTCTTGAATTGGATTTAGGCTGTTTAAATTTTGCTCAATGGATTGTACCTCGGAGGTGGGAGAATTTACTCTGGCAACTTAGTAAAGGTTGGGGCTGCCAAGTGAAGGCAGACTGTTGGTGAATATAATTTATTGGGATTGAAAAGGATACATCAGCCAGATTGATGCATGAATGCTAATCAAGGGTTGATTTAGCAAGATCTTCTACTAAGGAAATAATATCATGTACAGTGCTAATCACATTTTTTTCATAATTGAGTTAAATATTTAAAGTGATTAGAATAGTCACTGCCACTTAATACTACTTCAGAATTAGCTGCTTTTCTTAATATCGGTGTAATTCACAATTCACTTCCAAGCTCCACCTCCCTTTTGACTGGCCAAAATGAGTTGTTAAAGAGTCCTACTCTTTATCTCAGATTTCTCCAACAATGTTATCATAATTGTTATTTTACATATTCTCCTAGGGATTTGTCACTATTTCATATTACGTTGTTTTGTGGGGAAGTGGAATTCTAGAGGTTCTTAAGAGCTTTTCCAGCTCCCACAGTTGCAATCGTAAGTTCAGATAACATGCCCAGGGGCAGGAGAAATCACCATAGAAGCTTTCTTGGTTCTCTGTATCTCCCATTAATGTTTCATAACCTTCCACCTTCATACTTTCCCCTCCACATACCCTGGTATTCAAAATAGCCCTTCTTATTAGATTGGGTTTTCCTAATTAAAAGTTGCCATTGATGTTATATCCCAAAGTTTCTGGAATTCCTAAACATTGTCCTTTGTCTAAACTGTTTTAACGTGAGTGCAGAGTGTCTCCAGACACAGGTTGGAACAGATCTGGAGGGAAGAACATTGGGGCTGTTTGTCCCATCGTATGAGAGGATCTGGTTTTAGGGCAAAGCTCTTTAAGCTTGGAGAATGAATCGAAGGTGTGGAAGTGCCCTGTTTCTGTATGTTCTAAGAGAAATGAGCTCTTAACGTTTATAAGCTTTTTGTCTTGGCATTCCCCTTCGGTTTGGTCCCTAGCACTGTTAAATTACATGAATTGAGGGTTTGCCAAAACTACTGCTAAATTTGCAGCTTCTGTATCTGCTAAAATTGGACTATTTTTGATACTTCCTTTAACCTGTTTTGTAACCTTGTTAATTTTCTAATGAGCCCATTGTGCTGTTGGGATTCCGATATCCCCAAATCTAATGAGCCATGACCATACACGTTAGCTCCATTCCCACTGGGTTCTCAAATTCTTTTTCATTTTTCCAATTCTTTAGCACTTTCTCTTATAGGCGGTTCTGCCTTAATTTGAAATTAAATGAGAACTTCAGCCCCTTCGTCTCACCAGCTGCTAGCATTTTAAGTGCTCAAGAGCCACCTGTGGCTAGTGGCGGCTCGGTTGGATAGATACAGAACATTTCCCTAACAGCAGAACATTGTATAGGACAGCACTGCTCAAGGGATTGCTCTCCGATGATCACACCCACTTTACAGATACTAGGACTGTCTAACTATGTACACTTTCTTTCTTGCAAATACGATGTCGAAGGCTTTCCCTCAGTTTGTAACTTTTAACAAATATTTTAGAATCTTTATTGATCAATCTCTCATACATCTGTGCAACAAAAATATATGTATTCATTTAATTCTTTAATTGACAAAAATTGAATCTGTTTATGGTATACAATATGATGTTTATATATATATATATATATATATATACACACACACACACATTGTTTAATGGCTAAATCAAGCTAATTAATATGTGCATTACCTTACATATTTTTTGTGTTGGGTGAGAACACTTAAAATTATTCACTTAGCAATATTCAAGTACACAGTACATTGTTATTAACTAGAGTCACCATGTTGTACAGTACATATCTTGAATTTATTCCTCCTGTCTAACTGAAATTTTGTATTCGCTGATGTTAGTTTTTACAATCAACTCATTAAAAACATAATTAGGTCACAGAGGTTAGGAGGTTTTGAAAAAAACAAAAAACCAAACAAAAAATGTAATTAGGTTTGTTTGGCAATCTAGCAATGCTTAGTGTGCAATGCTTTTTACAGCCGCTGCTAAAAGCATAGCAAAACCACAGAAATCTATGTGCTGCCAAAACCTATGTATTTGGTCGTATTTATTTTGACTTGTGTTTTTTGTGTGCTTAACTTTTTCTCTAACTTTTTTTTGTAAAGAATGCTGGAGTATTCCCAAATTGTTGACAAATTCCCTTGTTTCCTGTTCTAAGCCCAGATTTCAGTGTTGGCCACTAGGTGGGGATAGGATCCTATTTCTCTATAGCCTTAACATGATTTTGAATTTCGATGCTTTGCAATGGATAATCTGGCTTTTTCCTCGAAAGCTTTAAAACATTTCTTTTGTGAATTCAAAACAACCCACAGTTTTAATTCTCTGTAGTTATCCAATAAAAAGGAATAGGAAACAAGTGCTAAATTATTTACTTACAGTGTTTCTGTATGGAAATCCTTACCCCCAAGACAGCTGGCTTCACGGCTTGACTCAATGGTGAGAAATCTGAGTTGACTCACAGCTTTCTGACAGTATTCTGATGGTACCATGTTAGGATAAATTCTTGGCCAAACAGAAAATCAAGGGAGACCTGCTTCTCCTTGTCAAACTCTAAATTAATCTACTAGTTCTTTTCATAAAGCAAAAGGTGAAATGTTGAGGACTCTGAGTTGGCGATCAATCGAAATGACTTTTAAACTAAGTCCCTTTTAATGATGACTGAAGACAATATTACATTAATCACTGGGTATTATAAACACTGGTTTCTCAGTCCTCTGCTGATGAGATTTGCTTGTTTGTGTATTTCTTTCTTAAAATCCCAAATAGTGAAGTCTCTCTTAAGCAATGGAGGCTTATTCATAGTCAAATTCCTTGCATGTAAAATTCTCTGGGTATAAAGTAGATTGCCTCCCTCTTGTTTTTCTTTTTCTTGAGACAGGGTCTCACTCTGTTGTCTAGGCTGGAGTGCAGTGGCATTATCACGGCTCACTGAAGCCTTTACCTCCCAGGCTCAAGTGTTCCTCCTGCCTCAGCTTCCTCAGTACCTGGGACTACATTTATTTTTTGTTTTTTTTTATTTTTTTGTAGAGACAGGATTTTGCCATGTTGCCCATGCTGGTCAAGCTATCTGCCCTCCTTGGCCTCCCAAAGTGCTGGGATTATAGGCATGAGCCACCAGGCCCAGCCTGCTTTCTTCTGTTTTACCAAGATGCTTGACAGTGGATATATAAAATGACAACTTCCCTTTCTCATATGTGGCACTGAGAGATGGGCAGCCTCTATTTCCTACAAGAAATATAGAATAGAAAATGTGTAATTTCTCATGGTGTTCTGCAAAAATTAAAAATTTCACAGAACACTCATCTGAATCCCTGGTTTGTAACTTTGGCTTTCCAAAACTTGCCTATATGCTAATATGATTCATAAAACATTTGTAATAATAATTTCAAAATAAAAATTTTAAAATGAATTTAGTCCTATATCTTCTATAATAACCAATATTTCCAGAAAAGTAGGATTTAAGAGTATCTTCTGTACCAATATATGACTTTCTTTTTCTTTTTTTTGGAGACAGAGTCTCACTCTGTTGCCCAGGCTGAAGTGCAGTGGTGTGATTTCAGCTCACTGCATCATTCAGTCGGCCGAAGGCCTGGCTAGAACAAAAAGGCAGAAAAAAGGTGAATTCACTCTCTCTCTGTTTTGGAGTAGGGAGTCCTATATTCTCCTCCCCTTGGACATCAGATCTCCAGGTTCTCTGGCCTTCACACTCAGGGACTTGCACCAGCAGCCCCCCAGGTTTTTGGTCTTGGACTCAGAGTTACTCCACCAGCTCCCCCGGTTCTCAGCCCTTCAGACTTGGACTGAGCCATGCTACAGGCTCCCCTGTCTCAGCAGCTTGCAGAAGGCCTAACGTGGAACTCCTCAGCCTCCATAGTTGAGGGAGTGAATCCCCAGCATAAATCCCCACTCATCTATCTACCTATATATATCCAATAAATTCTGTTTCTCTGAAGAAGTCTGACTTCTTCAGCCCCCAAAGGCCCCCAAAGGCCCCCAAAGCCCCCAAAGGCCCTAGTGCTGGTCTGTTACGAACTTCCTGGTAGACAATATTTTACACATGGCATCCCAGCTCCTTGTGGGAGGAATTAAGTGTGTCCTGTGTGGCTCCAGGGGGACAGGATCCTTGGAAGCCTGAGCCTGGTTTCTCTTAGGCTTTGCCCAGTGTGCCTTTCCCTCTGCTGAGTTTGCTTTGCATCCTTTTACTGTAATGAATCAGAGCCCTGAGTAGGACCATATGATGAGCCCTGTGAGTCCTCCTAGGGCATCATCTCACCTGGGGTGGCTCTGAGGACCCCTAACATAGCTCTTCCTCTGGCATTGGTATCTGGTAATATATAAAATCCCCCAAAACTAACTTGTCATCATAATTTATGACCATATTTCATCAAAATTTCATGTAGTCACATCCAAGAAGTTCAGTTAAGAAAGAAAAACTCTTTAAGCTTGGTTAAGGCTCTGCCATTTTTGAAAATTCGTATTAATCTAATAATATTGTAGCAACTATAAGTTTTCCTGATAACTTTTTTTTTTTTTTTGGGAGTGGGGGATGGAGTTTTGCTCTTGTTGCCCAGGCTGGAGTGCAATGGTGTGGTCTCAGCTCACTGCAACCTCCGCCTCCTGGGTTCAAGCGATTCTCCTGCCTCAGCCTCCCAAGTAGTTGGGATTACAGGCGCCCACCACCACACCCAGCTAATTTTTGTATTTTTAGTAGAGACAGGATTTCACCATATTGGTCAGGCTGGTCTTGAACTCCCGACCTCAGGTGATCTGCCTGCCTTGGCCTCCCAAAGTGCTGGGATTACAGGCGTGAGCCACTGTGCCCAGCCTCCTGATTACTATTATATAAAATTTGGACTTAGTGGCACATCATAACATGAAATGACTGGAGACAATATGACTTCTCTCTCGGTATTAAACATCAATTAAGATGAATTACAAAAATCATAGTAAACTGTATTCTAAAACCAAGCCTATGTCTGAAAAATCTGGTATACACACATCTTTTGAAACTAAGGATGTGTTTTCACTGTACAACCTGCAAGAGGTGATCTGGTGAACATAGAGTTATGGAATAAGTGTGTATCTATAACTTAGTACAAATTATATATAAAGAGAACGATAATGTATTATGCGGCTGGGCATGGTGGCTCACTTCTGCAATCCCAGCATTTTGGGAGGCTGAGGTGGGTGGATTACTTGAGCTCAGGAGTCCAAGACCAGCCTGGCCAACATGGTAAAACCTCATCTCTACCAAAAACAAAAAATTAGCTCTCAGGTACTCTAGAGACTGAGATGGGAGGATCGCCTGAACCCTGGAGGCAGAGGTTGTAGTAAGCTGAGATCATGCCATTGCATTTCAGCCTGGGTGATAGAGTGAGACTCCATCTCTAAATAAATAAAATAAAATAATATATTATGCTATTATACCTATTATTTAAAATTGGGATCTTATGTTGATTTCTACATTTGGGAAGCATATTCCTAAGAACTGACCTTTATCAGTCCTGTATTGTGTTCAGTGGCAAAGCCAGGCTTGGTGTCTGTTCCATCTGGGAACGCCAGGAGTAATGGTCCCACTCCTTGCTGCTGAGGGTACAGCATGAATTTGGGCAGCACCATGAAATAAAGCAAATGTAAGAAGATCCTCTATCAGTTGCACTCCTATTTAATAAGAAGACTTGATCATCATCAAGAAGTTAATTTCTCCATGCCTGGGTAAAACCACACTGACTCATCCTGAGGCTCTTCATTGGACCCAGTGATCACCAAATCCTTCAAGCATAAAATGGCCATGTGATTATCTCCTTCCTCTCAGGATGAAAGGCAGACAATAACATGTGATTTATGTTCCTCAGGAAAGGACATGCTATAAACTAGAGAACTTGGGAAAGAGGAAGTACATGAATTAACATGCAGGCACATGGTGGCATGTGCCTGTGGTGCCAGCTACTGGGCAGGCTGAGTGGCAGCATTGTTTGAGCCCAGGAGGTGCAGGCTATGGTGAACTGAGATCGTACTACTGCACTCCAGCCTGGTTAACAGAATGAGACCCTGTCTGTCTTTCTCTCTCTCTCTCTCTCTCTCTCTCACACACACACACACACACACACACACACACACACACAGAAAATAAAGGAGAAAAAGAAATTGTTCTTAAACATAAAATTTAAAGTGGGGTTCTTTGTATCACCACATTCTTTTTTTTTTTTTTTTTTTGAGACGGAGTTTTGCTCTTGTTGCCCAGGCTGGACTGCAATGGTGTGATCTCGGCTCACTGCAACCTCCACCTCCTGGGTTCAAGTAATTCTCCTGCCTCAGCCCCTCGAGTATCTGGGATTACAGGCACGTGCCACCATGCCCAGCTAATTTTTGTATTTTTAGTAGAGATGGGGTTTCACCATGTTGGCCAGGCTGGTCTCTAACTACTGACCTCAGATGATCCACCCGCCTCAGCCTCCCAAAGTGCTGGGATTACAGGCATGAGCCACCATGCCCAGCTGACTCTTTTAAATTTCATTCAGCTGTGCGCCCAGCCTCACCACATTTTTATATGAAGAAGAAATAAAATAATAATTACTAATTAAATAATTAAATATTATTTCCTTCTCCTTATATGTTTGAAAACATCAAAGATTTTCTCCAAAATTATCATAGCTATAAAAGAGTCAATATAATATCAAATGGTAACAAATTAATTCCTTTATGATGCAAAGAATCAATGTAAAATTGTGAAGAAATATCATCCATTCACAGAAGTAACTACAAATAAAAAATCCCAACTTGCGTAATGTATTTCCTCATTAAGAAGAAGGCGATTATGATGTCCTAATTTTCGTTTTCTTCACTTACCCCTACACTCTGCAGTAGTCAGGGGCTTCCTGGGCCATGCTGGTGCCTGACAATTCTCCCACTTCCTCCCAGCAGCTCTAGCATCTTCCTTCCCCAGCCACAGAGGCGTCCCTTCTGATGTATTCTGGTTGGTTGAGCCCCATCAGGCTGTTTCATCTCCAGCCTTTCTCCCTGGACAGGGGTAGGGAAAGGAGTGCTGGATTCGGAGCTCCTCCGTCCCTGCGCCGCCTCATTTTCTCCTTGGGGTCTGGCGCACAGTGGCCATTGCAATACACCCTAAAGACTGAAGGAGCCAGCGCAGAGCCAGGATCCTCCTGTGAGCCATGGCCCTGGCTGCCCTGCTTAGCCTCTCGGAACCTGGGCCATCAGGGGTGAGTGCGCAGGTGGGCGAGGGAGGGTGGGGGCTCTGGGCGCTTCTGGAGCCCACAGATGCTGTTTTCTTTCCTGTTCTGTTTTCTCTGTTCTTTACTGTTTTGCCTGAGGCTCTCTTTTGCTTTCTCTCATTCTAACAATAATAACCACCATTTACTGAACACCCCCTAAGTGCCAAACCTCATGTCCTTCCTCACAACACCATTTTCAGAAAGGCTTTTATTAACACAATTTTAGAAATGAAAAGACTGAGACTCAAAGAGATTCATAAATGTCTCCTTTCCCCCACGTCCTCTCGCTGAAGAGAGAAGAGCCAGGGCTTGGCAACCTCCTCTGGAGATTCTCTCGTAGATTGTAGAGGTCAGCTTCCTCAAATAGGAGTCTGCAATGTGGGTTTTTTTCCTTCCTTCCTTCCTTCCTTTTCTCCCTCCCCCTCCTCCTCTTCTTCTTCTTTTTCTTCTTCTTCTTTTCTCTCTCTCTCTCCTCTCTCTCTCTCGACAGGGTCCTGCTCTGTTGCCCAGGCTGGAGTGCAATCACGTGATCACAGTTCACTGCAACCTTGAACTCCCAGGCTCAAGGGATCCTCACACCTCAGCCTCCTGGGTAACTGGGACTACAGGTGTCTGTCACTACACCTGGATAATTATATATATATATATATATATATATATATATTTTTCCCCTTAGAGATGGAGTCTCACTGTATTTCCTAGGCTGGTCTCAAACTCCTGGCCTCAAGTGATCCTCCTGTTCAGCCTCTCACAGCACTAAGATTACAGGTGTGGGGCACCACACCCAGCCCGTTAGTGACTCTCTCTCATTTCATTCAGTCTTCAACCCACTGCATTCTCCCTTTTTCTTCCCCATGTCTCTGATGCTGCTCTCAGGGTGACCTTTATACAACCCAAACCAGTGATCACTTCTCTGTCTCTATCTCTTGTGTGTCATGAGTGTGTTTGTGATGCGTCCGCTCCTCTTTCCTGGATGTTTTCTCCTGTCTGTTGTCTTTTATGAACCCACTTCCTCTTTGTTTTCCTCCTACTTTCTAGTCTTCTCCTTTTCAGCCTCTTTTTTCATGTCTGTGTTTGTCTGGATGCAGGAGCACACACTCAGACCCTTGCTATTCTGACTTTATGTACTTTTCTTGAGTGACCTGATCCAAATTTAGAACTTCACTTATAATGAGCTTCCTTCCAGTCTGTGTCACTAACCTAGTGTACCCTGGGACCCAACCATTTAGCTCACTATCCTCAGATTAACTCCATTTGTTCCCACAGAAATTCAAACTAAGCATGTTCCAAACAGAACATCTTACCTTCTCTCGATTATTTCATTTTTCATTACCTTTGCAGTCACTGATGCCCCAGTTCTCCACGTTGGGTATTCTGGACTCCTTCATATCCCTACTTCTGGCACATGATTTAGTGATTCCTGTGGCTTTTCGTTTCATTATTGCCATTCAAACCCATCCGCTGTCCGCCTCACCCCATGTTCCTGCCCCTGCCTACACCCTCATGACTTCCCATCTGATGGCTGAAGAGTCCTATTGGTCTTGCTTTCAAACCAGCCTCCTCCAACCCATCCTCCCTACTGCTGCCCCCTCCAAACACAAATCTCATCATGTTACTGTCCTGCTTAAGATGCTTCACAACTTCCTATGTCCTGTGGGATAAAATGCAAACACCTGCCATCAGCACACAAGGCAGGTTACAGTGCCGCCCGGCGCACATCTCCCCTGGCTTCAGTCACACTGAAGAACTGCAGTTCTCCTTGCAACTTCATGCCTCTCTGCTCCTGAGCCTGCTTCTCCTGCTGGACATGTCATTTCCCCTTTCTCTGTTTTGCTAACCTCAGGTAAACACTATCCCTAGGAACCTTTCCTAAATCTCATTTTTCAAAAATGCCCTCTTTATGCTCCTGAGTGGCTCCAGTGTATATCTTATGGTACTCAGTGGTGATCAAAATAACCTATGGAAATAAAAGATTAAAAAACACAAAATAAAATACACATGTAGCAATCTTCTTTTCTTTGTCTCTTTGGATTTTGGATTTCAAGCAGCTTGAGGACAAGGCCCAGGTCTTCTGAGTTACATCCTTAGTGCCTAAAGAGTGAAAATTCACAATGAGTGTTTATTTAACAGAATGAAAATTAACATTTGAAGGTGGAATTTGCTTTAAAATGCACGGACCTTTAGTTTTAGGCTTTGTGAATATAATAAAAACAAAGTAACCTAAGGTGAACAAACGACATCTCTGTAGCACAGCTTGTATATCATGTTTTTCATCTGTTTTTTCTTTGGGCTTCGTTTCTGTAGGTGAGTAATTCTCTAGCCCATAAACTCAGTGGAGGACCCTCAACATCCGTGTGTGACACTGAACTTGCCGTCACTTGACGCATCCAAGGAGAGGACTGGTTTTCCCCGTGTTGGGCTTGGAGGGGAAATCCTTGCTTAGGACCAACAACCATGCAGTGTCATTTCGCCTCACTTCCTCTTCCAGGCTGGACTCCATGCTCTCTCATCTTTATTCTTTTACTGTAATAGTAATAGACTTTTTTGTTGTCAACCTTTTGCTGCGTCTTATACATCAGGTAAAGCTAAGATACTATCCCATAGGTGTTTCAAATGCAACAACTTTTATTTCCAGGTAGAACTACACTTGAAAATATACATTCAACAAGAACATTTTGTGAATGTTATGTGCATGACAACATTTTTAAATTTACTATGACTTAAAATGAAAGTGTTTTGATAAAATTATATAAGGTACCATTTTTATTCTAAAAGTAAGAACATAACTTGAAGTCTATAAATAGCACTAAGACTTACTCTGGAGGTCTTTTCATGTCCTTCATTATTTTTTTCCCTGAAAGATTTTTATTTCATCTCCCTACTTCCCTGCCTTTCTCTGTGGCTATATCAGTATTTTTTATGTCTGGTCCTGTAGGGGTTCTGAGATCCTATGGGAATGGGGTAGGGGGACTACGCAATTTTGTTTCTACCAGGAGTTGTGTGACTTGGGTGAGTTACTTTACTTCTGTGGTCAGTTCCCCAATATGTAAAATAATTTCCTCTGTTAAATCAAGTTTAGCCTAAAGTTGCCTCCTTACATATTTTAAGTTTGGCCTAAAGGTTTCTCTGTACATCATGAACTATAACAAGTGGAGGTGTAAACAGACCATAGCCTACACTTGTGCCAATCACTGAGTTTTGGCCAATCATATGTAGCTAACTGTTTGAACTGTGTTCAAGTTAGGCAAACATTGAGCTGTAACCAATCTGGCTGTTTCTGTACCTCACTTCTGTTTTCTGTATGTTACTTTTCTTTTTCTGTCCATAAACTTTCTTCCACCACGCAGCTGTGCTGGAGACTTTGAGCATACTCTGGCTTGGGAGGCTGCCCGATTTGTGAATTGTTTATTGCGCAATTAACCTCATTTAAAATTTATTCGGCTGAAGTTTTTCTTTTATCAGGTGGTGTCAGAAGTGGGGTTGGAAGTAGAGCTTCTAATGACCCCCAGAAGTGCTGAGTGACCTAGCGAGGTACCCTCCAGGCCCATTGTGTCTCTTTCTCTCTCGGAGCAGCTGGGGATCGTGGTAAGTTCTCTTGCAGATTCCGAAGCTCCACAGATTTGTGTGTTGAGCTCTCTGAGTTTCTTTGAGTAAATTTCTGATCCTGATTGGGTTTGAAAGTCGCGAAAGAAATTGAACTGAGTCCAGGATCGGATTGGCTCCAGTAATTAACTGGCTTGGATCCGGTTAGAGACCTCTTACATCTAACTGGATCAGAAAGAAACCAGTATTAAATGGCAATATTGCAAAGGTGTAAAATTTGGCTTTTGGAAATTCACAGAGATTTTTATGTTCTACTCCTTTATTTTTCTTGTGCACTTAGGTAGGAAAAAAAATCATTGGCTAAGTTGAACAAGGGACCTGAGAGCAAAGCCAGTATTTGAGGTAAAAAATGTGATACTGAATTTCTGAAGAACTGAGTTCCTTCTGGATTATACATGCATAAGTATTAGGCCCTGGAAGGAGCAACGCCTTACAGAAATTGTCCAGGCGTGGTGGCTCACACCTGTAATCCCAGCACTTTGGGAGGCCAAGGTGGGTAGATTGCTTGAGGCTAGGAGTTTGAGACCAGGCTGGCCAACACTGTGAAACCCTGTCTGTACTAAAAATTAAAAAAAAAAATTAGCCAGGCATGGTGGCATGTGCCTGTAATTCCAGCTACTCGGGAGGCTGAGGCACAAGAATCACTTGAACCCAGGAGGTGGAGGCTGCCATGAGCTGAGATCATAATACTGCACTCCAGCCTGGGTGACAGAGACTGTGTCTCAAATAAAATTTTTTTTTTTTTTTTTACTAAAGATAACTTGCAGTAGAACATTCCAAAAGAACAACACTGCACTGAAGTGCATTTGAAAATGAGGGCTCCCAAATTAGTCTCATGTACAGTCTCATGTAGGGATGCCTATTGATATGCAGAAGCTTCTAAAAAATTTCAATATTTGCATTTAAAGACTTTACAAAAAAGAATTAAAAAGCTTAAACAACTAATTGATTTAAAAAATTAAATCTGCCTTGCGCTTTTTGCTGATGGCTGTGTGTGACAGGATTAGGCATGTACAGGATCATGGGACATGGGGAACTTTTTTCTCCCCAAAGCAGGAAACTTGAGAGCTGATGAGATGGCTGGAAAAGATCCTTCATGACTGACAAGCAGCTGCCTGAACTTTTTTTTTTTTTGAAACGGAGTCTCACTCTGTCTCCCAGGCTGGAGTGCGGTGGCACAATCTCAGCTCACTGCAACCTCCGCCTCCTGGGTTCAAGTGATTCTTCTGCTTCAGCCTCCCGAGTAGCTGGGATTACGGGCGCCCACCACCATGCCTGGCTAATTTTTTGTGTTTAGTAGAGACAGGGTTTCACCATGTTGGTCAGGCTGGTCTCGAACTCCTGACTTCAGGTGATCCGCCCACCTTGGCCTCCCAAAGTGCTGTGATTAAAGGCATGAGCCACCGCACCTGGCCCTGAACTTTTAATTTAGTGTCACTGCAATAGGTGGGTCCTTCTCTGTCCTCCCTGAACTCTTTGCCTTCCCCACCCTGCTGCAGACAATGCTTTTCTTTCTCTCTTTCTCTTCTTTCCTTTTTCTATCTTTCTTTTTTTTTTTTTTTTGAAACGGAGTCTTGCTATGTCACCCAGCCTGGAGTGCAGTGGTGCGATCTCGGCTCACTGCAAGCTCTGCCTCCGAGGGTCATGCCATTCTCCTGCCTCAGCCTCCGGAGTAGCTGGGACCACAGGCGCCCGCCACCACGCCTGGCTAATTTTTTTTTTTTTTGTATTTTTAGTAGAGACGGAGTTTCACCGTCTTAGCCAGAATGGTCTCGATCTCCTGACCTCGTGATCTGCCCACCTCGGCCTCCCAAAGTGCTGGGATTACAGGCGTGAGCCACCACGCCCGGCCTCCTTTTTCCAGCTTTCTATTATATCTTGTCTAGAGATCACATGTTGAAACTTCTGGCTGGAGGCCATTCCACCCCACTTTGAATAGATTAAAGATAGCAGAGCCCCACCAGGGGCAAGTTTAAGCCTTACCAGTTCAATATTGGGCACTAAGCAGAGTGGCTAATGTCTATGTTTTGTCACATGTATTTTGCTGTGGCTGGAAGGGAAAATGTTAATTCAGTTCCCTCATGCAATCTCTTGGGCAGCATCTTACAAAATTGAGAGGCTTTTGCCTATGGTTCCCTGAAATCAGAAAAGATGATTTTCCTTTGTGTTGTGGCTTGGCCCCCAGGCTATGTGCAGCTAACAGGGTCGCTAGGGCCACTCAGAAAGAGGGAACCCAGAAGCCTGGCATGCTGGCAAAAGGGTAAGAATTTCTTAGCAGTCAGGCTTCTGGCCTCTCTCTGTGTGGAAACGGTTGTAGGAGTAGTAAAAATCACTGTCTCCTCTGCAAAGTTTTAATTAATGATAAAAAGGATTTGTGAGGCTGGGTGCGGTGGCTCACGCCTGTAATCCCAGCACTTTGGGTGGCCGAGGCGGGTGGATCACGAGGTCAGGAGATCAAGACCAACCTGGCTAACACAGTGAAACCCAGTCTCTACTAAAAATACAAAAAATTAGCCGGGCGAGGTGGCGGGCGCCTGTAGTCCCAGCTACTCGGGAGGCTGAGGCAGGAGAATGGCGTGAACCCGGGAGGTGGAACTTGCAGTGAGCCGAGATCGCGCCACTGTACTCCAGCCTGGGCGACAGCGAGACTCCGTCTCAAAAAAAAAAAAAAAAAAAAAAAGGTATTTGTGAGCCAATCTTAAGCTGTAGCAAACCTGGTGTACTTTGTGCTATGAATTGGTCTTTCTGTGTCATTTGGTCATAAAAGGGGTTAAATAGGATAAAATGTGGGCCTAGGACTCCCAGAAGTCTGCTGTTCAAGCCAGCCTGGCAAACTGGTCAGTTACAAACTGCGGGTCCCTGAAACAAAAAAACACTGGATAAGGTTTCCCTGTCATCTTGTTTTATGTCATTGGGAGCTTGACCTTATAATCACATGATGGTACTTTCTTTTGGTCTCCACCCTCTGGAGGACAGGAATTTTGGAGTTCATGTCATAGTTAGCTCTAAAAATTATCTTGAGCAGTTAAAAGCCTTTGCAAGCTGAAAATTGGCTGCTCTTAGGCTCCTCCTTCTGGGAGGAACAATGGAAACCACCAACGGTGTAGCTTAGTGGCTAAGCTTTGCCATCTTATGATGGCAGCCAGGCAGGGTTCAATTCCAGCTCAGGGAATGAGACCTGTTTGGTTTGATATCTTTCTGATCTTTGCTATTTGCTGATTCTCTTCCCCTCATGAACAACTTCTGACTCTCGTCTTGAATTTTCCTTTCTCTGAGCTACGTTTGGAAATTCTAGAGTTTGTAAAAATTGCTTGCTACCTTTTTGAAAATACTTCGTACACTTGTGGTTAAGTCATAACCTTGTTAAAGCTTATTGGTTTCACCTGGGAGATTACCTTTGGTAAAGTTCAAAAGCCAGACATATTGGCTGTTTGGCCTGGCTAAAGTCAAGTAATAAGAGATTTAAAATGATTATTTTAGGCTGGGCGCAGTGGTCCATGCCTGCAATCCCAGCGCTTTGGGAGGCCAAGGAGGATGGATCACCTGAAGTCAGGAGTTTGAGACCAGCCTGACCAACATGGAGAAACCCTGTCTCTACTAAAAATACAAAAATTAGCTGGATGTGGTGGCTCGCACTGGTAGTCCCACCTATTCAGGAGGCTGAGGCAGGATAATCGCTTTAACCTGGGAGGCGGAGGTTGCAGTGAGCTGAGATTGAACCACTGAACTCCAGCCTGGGCAAGAGAGCAAGACTCCGTCTCTAAAAACAATCAAATAATTTTTTTTTTTTTTTAGAAAGAGCGCTATAGTTAAAAGTCAGCTTAATTAAAAGTGGATATCCAAGCTATAGGTATGTTTAAAGGGCCTTTTGGTTTTTTCTCTTCTTGGATCTTTGTTTTTTTTTAATTATTTTTTTCTTTTTAGCCAACTGAATTGTTTTTCTCCATTTTGTCTTCTTGCCACTTTTGTTGCACACATGAGAGGACCTAAGGTAACTTCTAACAGCCTGGGACTCCTTGGGAAAAACAGAGGAGGCACTACGATCCTGCTTTGGGATATAACTCGGTTTTCCTCCTGAAACACCAGGAATCAAAAGCAGATAGATCCCTCTCAAAATCTAAGGCTAAATATCCTTTTGGGGATGGCCAACAGGGTGAAACCCAGTCTCTACTAAAAATACAAAAATTAGCCTGGTGCAGTGCTGCACACCTGCAGTTCCAGCTACTGGAGAGTCTGAGGCATGAGAATTGCTTGAGCCTGGAAGGCGGAGTTGCAGTGAGCCGAGATTGCACCACTGCACTCCAACATGGGTGACAGAGTGATACTCTGTCTCAAAATAAAGGAAAGAAAGAAAGAGAGAGAGAGAGTGGAAGGAAGGAAGGAAGGAAGGAGGGAAGGAAGGAAGGTCATTTCCACAGTTAATTGCTTAATGCTGGTGCAATTTCTGAAAACTTCACAAGTAGGCACAATTCTAGAATATGGTGTCTTTTAGGAGGTTCCTGAAAGGATGGAAAGGACCCCAAAAAGTATTCTTGATTACAGGTTTCTGATAACTTTAGAATCATATCATTTTTACTGGGTAAGAATTCCTGGAGCTTTTTTTTTTTTTTTGAGACGGAGTCTCACTCTGTCACCCAGGCTGGAGTGCAGTGGCACGATCTTGGCTCACTGCAAGCTCCGCCTCCCAGGTTCACGCCATTCTCCTGCTTCCTGGAGCTTAAAAGACTGACTGGTTTATAAAACTGCCATCCCAAGTAGAACACAAATTAATTGAATACCAAGAAAATACTTTGCAAGTCTTTCATGCTAAATCACCCAATACTGAAATTGTTTAGATACACAATTTGAAGAAACTCTGTGGTCTAACTCAAATTACCTATGATAACCCATCAGTTATCAGTGCTATGCACCTCAATTGGAGAAACAACCGTGTCAAGCATGGACTCATGGAGAACCAAGGTGGCTGCCTTATCCTTCCTGAGCTTTTAAAGCTTTTATAATTTAAAGTTCTGCATTCCATGACTCATCATGGAAAAGATAAAATGATCCAAGTTAAATGCATATTGGTGTGGTGACTTCTAAATTGCTAAAATAGTTTATGACCAATGTTTGGTTTGCCAAACCCATATTCCTGGGAAGACAATCAAAGCTTCAGGTACATTCTGCTACCTCATGAGCCATTTAAACATTTATGAAGAGATTTCAGTCAATTGTCATTTTCAATGCATGTTTTCTGGTTGTGTAAAAGCTTTCCTATACAAGTGAACTGATGTTATAACAGTAGATTATTATTTCACAGTGTATTTTCACCAGGTAAAGAAAGCTTTTTATGGTTCACTGACTGAGGACAATCAACCCCTTCACAATCTAGAACCTGAAGATTGGATCTTCTGAGAACATCAGAGAAAGACTGCCCTTGCCATCCACACTGCAGTAAACATCAGAACCGTGAACTTTGGCTTCATGATCTCACAACTGAGAAGGATCCCTCCACATTCTTGGAAATATACACCCATTGGAACCCGTAAGGTAAAGCTAACCAGGGAAGTTTCTTCCCAGAAGAAGATGGTATCCTTGATGTGAACAGCTTTCACCAAGATCACAGATCAAGACTTCTCTGCTATATGGAGGCTCTTATCTCTGAGTATTTTTTCCCTTGCTGATGCCTCTATGAACAGTAGAAGTGAAAAGGGGGTCTGTTGTGTGCACTTATGGGGTAGGTATACTTTTATTGGTGAAGGGTTTTGCAGCCAGCCTTATACATGGATAACCTCACACCTTGATAGATGAAAGATGAAGGCCCAGTGTAGGTGAGAAATTTTAATGGTACATAGGTTGCCTCATAATCAGTCAGAAACAGAACATTGATTCACTCCCCTATTCCACATCATGGGTTAAAGAGAACATTGCCAGGAGGCCTTCAGTCTTCTAGAAGGGCATTTTTCCTTAGGTCCTTTTTACCATGATTTGGAGTAAAACAGGCAATGATTAGAAATGTATCCCTCATGATAGGCTCTAAACAGAGTCTACTGTAAGGGCGATGGTTACACAACAGATTTTACATTCTTTTGTGAAAGTTATGCTTAATAGTAGGATTGCTGTAGATTACTTACTGGCTAAACAGAGAAGTATCTGTGCAGCTGCTGGCACTTGTGGCCTATGGAGAAATACATCACGTCAGGTGTACAGAGATTCAGTTGTAGGTAATTAATGAAGAGACTGCTTAAATGAGTAAACTCTTTATTTAGCTCATTCTTTGATCTATTTAATTTTGGGTGGTTTGGTTTATGGGGACCCTGTGTAAGGAGCATACTCCAAACTCTTGGTATTATCCTCCTGATAGTCATAATAGTAGTCTACCTGGTGCACTGTATTCTCTCGAAAGTTTTAAATGTTTGCATGCAGCCATCTCTAGAATGTCAAATTGTCTCTCTTCAACTAGAATGACAAGATTGAAAGAAATGTGTGACCATGATGGCATTTTAACCTATGAATGATGTGTTGAGACTGGAAACCCAAAATGATGGTAACTGAGAGTGGCGCTAAGGCCCTAAGCTTTGGTCACATTCTCACCTAAGTGAGAACCTGACCAAAAAGGGGACATTTTTAAACAAAATCATGGGAGGCCATTGTTTTGGACTTTAATGAAAGGCTAAATGCACTAAGCCCCAACAGACCAGACCAAACCAAAATGGAGTCACTTGTGCTAAATGTGACATGATTAAACTAAGACTTTAAGGAAACACATAGATCCTAAAACAGACCAGGTTTTGTTTTTTTCTCCTATAAACAGAACGTTCCAACAAAAGGAGGTAACCCTTACAAAAATAAAATTAAAATAAAATAAAATAACCTGAAATCCTTGTTCCCCCTTACAAAACTCATTGTTCTGCTATTTCCCAGGGGGTTTCAAGACCAAATAAGTACATTTACAATGGTGATAGTGGCATCGATGACTAAAGTTTTGGTAAATCTCTAAAAATTGAGAAGATTACCAAAAGAGGAAAATTGTTAAATCAAGTTTAGCCTAAAGCTGCCTCCTTACATATTTTAAGTTTGGCCTAAAGGTTTCTCTGTACATCGTGAACTATAACAAGTGGAGGTGTAAACAGCCTACACTTGTGTCAATCACCAAGTTTCGGCCAATCATATGTAGCCAACTGTTCAAACTGTGTTCAAATAAGGATACACCCAGCTGTAACCAATTGGGTGTTTCTGTACCTCACTTCTGTTTTCTGTATGTCACTTTCCTTTTTCTGTCCATAAATCTTCCACCACATGCCTGCAATGGAGTCTCTGAGCCTACTCTGCCTCGGGAGGCTGCCTGATTCACGAATCGTTCATTGCTCAATTTGACTCTTTTATATTGAATTCAGCTGAAGTTTTTCTTTTTTTCTTTTTTCTGTTTTTTTTTTTCGAGACAGAGTCTCACTCCGTCACCCAGTCTGGAGTGCAGTGGCGCAATCTCAGCCCACTGTAACCTCCTCCTCCCGGTTCAAGTGAGTCTCCTGACTCAGCCTCCCAAGTAGCTGGGACTACAGACAGCATGCCTGGCTAATTTTTGTATCTTTAGTAGAGACAAAGAGGTTTAGTAGAGACAAAGGGGTTTCACCATGTTGGCCAGGCTGATCTTGAATTCCTGACCTCAAGTGAACCACCTGCCTCGGCCTCCCAAAGTGCTGGGATTACAGGCATGAGCCACCGTGCCTGGCCAGAAGTTTTTCTTTGAACACTTTTTTTTTTTGGGGAAGGAGTCTCGCTCTATCTCCCAGACTGGAGTGCAGTGGCGCGATCTCAGCTCACTGCAAGTTCCACCTCCCGGGTTCACGCCATTCTCCTGCCTCAGCCTCCTGAGTAGCTGGGACTACAGGCACCTGCCACCATGCCCGGCTGATTACAGGCGTGAGCCACCGCGCCTGGCCTTCTTTGAACACTTCTACGTGGAAGTGTGAGGATTCAATGAATAAGTTGAGCACATGGTACATGTTCAGTGAATATTTTCTGATTGTGTTCAGTGTTATCATTATTGGAATGATGTGAGGGTTGTGTAAGTCTTCAGAGACCAGGGAAACAACTGAAATCTTCTATGAGTCATTTCTATCATTGTTTATCCCCATTCCTTTTCTTTTCATTCATTTTTGCATTTCTCATTTTCTGTGTTATTCCCTTGCATTCTTAAAAACTTTCCCATTACCTGCTTGCTTCTTGTATTCTGTGTACTTTCCTATGTGTTCCTCATTCTGCAGTCTTCTTCCCCTTCAAGCAGCAGACCATGTGTCAACGTATGCAGAGTTTGTGCAGACACACAGACCCTCTGGGGAGTATATGTTTGAATCTGATGAAGATGAGCAGTTATTTGTGCACCTGGACAAGAAGGAGATGGTCTGGCATCTGTGAGAGTTTATTCACACTGTGAGGGGCAGAAAATGAAGGGACCAGGGATGGAAAGGGATGGGGGACAAAACACTAAGCTGGCAGTCCTAACCCCAGTGTGTTTATTCTACTCCAGGTGTCAAACTTTCTCAGTCAGAAGTTGACATAAGGAAGTCACCAGCTTCGGTCTCCTTTAAATCTCCAGGCCTAACTTTCTTTTGAATCTCTGCTCTTCAACCACAATGACTTATGTACCCCAAGACCCCTCTACCTCCTGGCTGCCTATGATCCTCCTGCACCTAGCACTCAGCAAAGGGTCTGACATTTAGATAGCACTCAATCAATATGAAGAATTTAAAGTGTAGTGACAAGGTGGTGCCCACACTGGATGGTCTGTATGCTGTGGTCTCATCAGGGACCTTTCTCTGCACTGCATTTTTCCTGAGAAATCCCAGAGTTCAATAAATACCTGTGTATGTCAGAGCTAGACACATCTGATGCCTTTCTGTGACTCCTTATATTCTCAGTTTCCTAGGAATGCATATCCTGGACTTGTAATTGTAGGATACAGGTGCATTATGGGTGCAGATACCTCAGTTTTGCATCCTGCAAGAGTTAGTCTGCAGATTGTTCACTCCACTCTGGGTACGGCTGACACCTACAGCATGCGTCCAGGGGACAAAAATGGAAGGAGATGACTCTGATTGGATAGTGAGAGGAACACGGGTAGCTCTGGTAAACTGACCAGGGATAGGCGCCCAGGGGCACACAAGGCCCAGAAGCTGCTTGTGAGAAGTCAGGGAGAAGGAAGCCAACAACTGGATGTATCAGAGAGCCACTGAGTGCTCATTATGTGTATCAGGAGTTAAGAATCCATCCTCTACACGAAAAGGAAAGCTTAGACCAAACATGTCTTCTACCTTGATTTACAGTAACTTAATATGAAATGCAAAACACATAAAAATTTTGGATTGTAAAAAAAAGATCAGTGTTTGAAAGAGTGCCACACCTATTGCTTTGCACTTTCAACAATGGGGAGGCGTTTCTCACTGTATGAATTATTAGCTCAGGAGGTCTAGGCTGGTGAATGAATGCAGACTTAGAGGATAAATGTCGTCTACTTGATGCATTCAAAAGGCCAAGCAACATTTGGTTAAGGAGTATTTGTGATGGCATGCAAAGAAAGTGTTGAAAGTGTGTTAGATTATATTTATCGTTTTAAATTCTGATGCTTATTTAATTTCTTAACAGTAATGCTAAAACATGCTCTTAGTAAGTTATATGTTGAATCAGTGCTATGTTAATATGGGCCCTATAACACAGATTTGCAGTCTGTTCACCACTGAATAGCTAAGAATAGTGGTTTCAGACCTAAATGGATGAAGACACCAAACATGAGGATGGGGCAGCTCACTGAAATATAGTAAATCCAGGAGAGGTCTATGTCCAACAGGCCACCTTATACAATAGTTTGGATGGATTTTCATGGTTTTCTTCTTTCTTATGTCTAAACCACAATGAACTTCTTTATTAACTCTTACTGTTTGCTAAAACCCTCAAGAAAAAAAAGTGATGAGACATGACTTGGTGTATATTCTTAACAGAAAACAATCATGTTGGGTTTTGATTACTCATGGCACTAAGGAGAAAGGAACTTGGTTGGAGGCCCCATGAGAGAAATCATGCATTGAATCCAGGAACAGAATGATAGAAACTGGCTTCAGTGCAACTACTCAGCAGCAGCATCCTCTTGGGAGGCTGGGGGTCTGTCCTCGAAGCAGGTACTGGGACTAAAGAAACAGAAAATGCTTGTTCCAAGGTACATTAGTCTTTTAGGCAAGGTCAGCAACCCTGTGGAGGTAAAAAACAGTAATCCCAGGTTGCTGGCCCCCTTCCTTTAAGTCCCAGGAGAGAAAAATAACGGTGAGAGGCTGAATCTCAGGCTGATAAAGAATAGAGTTGATCTGAGCTTCCTTTAGCAATGGAGCCATGCAATGCTCTTTCCCCACTCACCCCAGGGCTGAGGTTGAAACAGGGGTTCAGGCCTGAGACTCTCTTCCTAGAGGAGCCTCAGTGTCACAATGTACAGAAAGGACTTATGTCCTCCTGTAACTCCCCCAACAAGGAAATCAAAGCAGGAATATTGCCTGTTTATGCAGATCCTTGTTGAACTGAAATGAAAGGAAGAAAGAGAATGTATTCAGCTACTGAAACCACCTCAGACAATTAGAGAAACGTTTCCATCATACTTCCATTGTCCATCACTCAATGGACGCTCTGCAGGAGCCTGAGTAACTGGGACCTCATGCATCTGGCTGCATTAAGATGCCAGGCTGGGATTCCTCTCTCCTTAGAAGCTGTCTTTGTTTCCTGACTATGTGATTTCAGCAAGCTCTCTGGCATTGCTTTTTTGTCTCAGCCCCTCATCATGGAAGAAGGGTGAGCAAGTCAGGAGAAAGGTGGGTATCGGTCACCTCACAGGATTTCTCACCTTTCTTCCTCCTTCTGTGCGTGAAGATGTCCACTCCACAGATGATGAGCCCCAGCATGAAGCCCCTGGCTCCTGTCAGCATCTTGCTCTGCACAGAATCAGACTGTGCCTCTAGGAAGAACAGGCTCAGGTTCAGAGTCACCTCCAGCAGCTGCACCCCTGCTCATGTCCTGTCTGAGATCCTGCAGCCTGATGCAGAATATTGGCACGAGGAGAGCGAGGGGAATACACCTTGCATGACAGGAAACTGAGAAACAGTCACTCTCTCAATTCTAGAACAGAGGGTGTGACCTCAACAACAGACAAATTCAGATTCAATTAGTTGCCTCTCAAAATAACTTAGAATAAGCTAAAAGGCTGAAGGAAGACAACAGTTCCCATGTGTAACGTCAGTTCAGGAAGGTGTCTGCATCCCTAGATTCTTGGACAAGGAGAGGAACTATGAATCCTTAGGACCTCCTAGGCCGGGGGCAGGCAAGTCTCCATTGTCCCCAGGTTAAAACTACACTCAGTGTCTTCTATAGAAGAAAAATGGGGTCGGACATGGTCCCAGGGTATAGACACATAAAACCAGATGAGTGGACCCCAGAGCCAGAGAGTCCCCTGCTCTTCAGAGGTGGAGTCTAGAGGGTCATCAGACCCTCACTCCACTCCACGGTGACAGGACTGTCCAGGCTGGGGTGCTCCACTTGGCAGGTGTAGATGTTTCCCTGCTGGGGGGTCATTTCCAGCATCTCCAGGATCTGGAAGGTCCAGTCTCCATTACGGATCAGGTTGGTGGACACGACCCCAGCTGTTTCCTCCTGTCCATTCAGGAAGCATCGGACTTGAATGCTGTCTGGGTAGAAATCTGTCACGTGGTAGACAAGCAGGTCGTGGTGCTGCTGGGGCTCCTTCTTGGAGGGGAGATGTTCACCCTAGGCTGGACTAGGAGTGGCGAAGTGGAAAAGTGGAATAGCATTTGAGATTATTATTTCTTAGACATGCTCATTATGGAATTGATTTCTAGATGTTGAAAATAGGAATGATGGCC